>NC_000009.12:33949393-34100909 GCF_000001405.40 Homo sapiens
TGACCCTGCAAGATCAAATACAGGTCAGGCTGGGCGCAGTGGCTCACACCTGTAACCCCAGCACTTTGGGAAGCCGAGGTGGGTGGATCACCTGAGGTCAGGAGTTAGAGACCAGCCTGGCCAACGTGGTGAAACCCCGTCTCTACTAAAAATACAAAAATTAGCCAGGGATGGTGGTGAACGCCTGCAATCCCAGCTACTCCAGAGGCTGAGACAGGAGAATCGCTTGAACCCAGGAAGTGGAGGTTGCAGTAAGGTGAGATCGCACCACTGCACTCCAGCCTGGGTGACAGAGCTTAGACTCGTCTCTCATGTGTGTGTGCGCGCATGCACGCGCACACACGCACAAGATCAAATACAGGTCAAAGAACTGAACTTCAGTGGTTACTATTCCAAAATGAGACACTGCGATACATAGGTATTTGAAGTTGAGCAAATACCATAGACACTGCTATTTTCATTTCAAGTTGTTTAGATGACTAAGAACACCAAATACGTTCCATAAATAAGTACAGGAAAAACAATGTTACTCCTGCCCCATCTGTCCTGTCAGGTCGAGATCCAAAGAGAATGAAAGCCTATGACTAGAAAAGACAATGGAAGATCAACTACATTTTTACATATCAAGATCATTCTGAAATATAAGTTCTTCATCAAAAATAACATTTCTTTTCTTTTCTTTTTTCTTTTTTGAGACAGTCTCGCTCTGTCACCCAGGCTGGAGTGCAGTGGCGCGATCTCGGCTCACTGCAAGCTCCGCCTCCCAGGTTCACTCCATTCTCCTGCCTCAGCCTCCCGAGTAGCTGGGACTACAGGCGCCCACCACCACGCCCGGCTTTTTTGTTGTTGTTGTATTTTTAGTAGAGACGGGGTTTCACCATGTTAGCCAGGATGGTTTCCATCTCCTGACCTTGTGATCCACCTGCCTCAGCCTCCCAAAGTGCTGGGATTACAGGCATGAGCCACCGTGCCTGGCCCAAAAATAACATTTCATATCCATTTAAGGTCAAAAACAAATACTTTGCCTTCCCTCAAGTAAGTTGAAACAATTACTTCTATTATCAACATTCAAAGACAAGGAATGTCCCACTTGGATGGAAATCCTAACTTCGCTTTGAGTAAAACATTAGGTTATGGACAGCTGTGACAGAGATTGCTCATACTGAAACAGTTGTGCTAACATTACTTATCACTGCTCCAGATTCTTTTTTCAGGTTGCCCAATACACTGGTCTGAGGTTGCTACCAATTTGCAAAAATCCAGCTCAAGCCCACTGATTTAATGAAGGCTTCCCAGGTGATGACTCTCTTCATCCTGTTATCCTACATAATCCCTAACATGCATCAGCTAGTTTTATCAAATGCACTATGTGCTTTACAACACAGCGAAATCACTGAATCAATGACTACTGCCATGTCCTAGGTAATACACAGCATAGGCCTCTTAAGTCCACCTACACATTTAAATCAATGGAGAGACTTTTAAAATGTATACAATACACACATGTGCATACATGCACATACACACAAACACACACAGTGCCCAAATCCCAATCCCAAAGATGAGGACATGTTTTGTTTTAGAGACTTGGGAAATATCATCATCACTTCTGTTGCTGCTGTTATTTACTAGGTTCATTATTAATTATTATTTGGAGACAAGGTATTGCTGTCAACCCAGGCTGGAGGGCCACAGAACAACCTCCTGGGCTCAAGTGATCCTCCCATGCCAGCCTCTCAAGTAGCTGGGATTACAGTAGCTATGATTACAGGGCATGTGCCATGACAACCAGCTTATTTTATTTTAGCAAGATGAGGCCTCGCTATGTTGCCAGACTGGTCTCAAATTCCTGGCATCTCATAATCTTCCAGCCTCAGCCTCCCAAAGTTCTGGGATTTACAGGGATGAGCCACCATGCCATGCCTGGCCTCCCCAATGATTTTTTTTTTTTTTTTTTTTTTTTTTTTTTTTTGAGATAGAGTTTCTCTCGTCGCCCAGGCTGGAGTGCAATGGCATGATCACGGCTCGCTGCAACCTCCACCTCCCGGGTTCAAGTGATTCTCTTGACTCAGCCTCCCAAGAAGCTGGGATTATAGGCGCCCACCACTACGCCTGGCTAATTTTTGTATTTTTAGTAGAGATGGGGTTTTACCACATTGGCCAGGCTGGTCTCAAACTCCTGACCTCAGGTGATCCACCCACCTCGGCCTCCCAAAGTGCTGGAATAACAGGTGTGAGCCACCGCGCCCAGCTCCCAGTGATTTTTAAAGATTAGAGTAGGGTCGAGAACCACTGCTCTAATACAACGCCACACAAACAATTCTTATTCTGCCTTCTCATGTTGGTCATTCTCATGCTGGTCACTACATAAAGCAACATATCTGAAGATTGCTGTAAAAACTCAAGTCCTTCTTATCAATTCAGTGGACACACATAGATTTCAGCAAGGGCATTACATAATTATACCAGTAGCAGAGGGAAAGGCGGAGGAGGAAAAGACTCTGGTGCGTCAATTAAAAATCAGGGTTTTTATTAGGCCTTCTCAAAATAGAGAAGCCTTGGGCTGTTCTACTTCAAGCACTGACACCACCTCATATACCAATGATACTAAAAACACCAAGTCCCCAAGCCCAACACATGATATGGCTACACAGAGTAGAAAATACTAAGGAAAAGTTTAAATATTCAATTCTCAATTTTATCAGGGTAAAACAAACGATTTGACTCGGGAGAAAATTCTGTTTCTCAGCAATAAATTTCAGGAAAAACACAGCAACAAACTAAAATAATTATCCCTAGTAAGAGCTGTAGTTCTGCATCCATAGACCTTTCTAACTTCCCCTTGCCAGCTCAGAACTTCCTGTAGTTGGGTAGGAACTTCAGTTCACCATTCTAAAGCAACATTCTTGTATAAGCTATGATCTAAGCTTATACTTCCATAAGCCTATCTTCACAGCCTTCACTAACAGTTTCTGAAGTTCCTTCTGGATGGGAGCTTAACACACATTGGAAGTCAGTCATACAGTACTAAATGACACTGTTTCAATAAAAACACATCCAAACTATAAGGGCCTCTGTTAATCATTTGGCATTTTAAGAAAATGTAGCTTATTTTACGGTCTTAGGGGGAAAAAAAAGCAAAAAATGTAAGCGCCTAGGCAGACTCAGACTGTTTTTACATGATTTTATAGCAAGTCAATTCTGATAAACTTTCGCATTTAATTGGAAAACAAGAAATTGAATATACTAACTATAGAGACATAATATGAAACAAAACACAAGGAAAACATCATTCAGAAGAAAGGGGTACTTTCAATCTCAAGAGTGATCATCAGTTCAAAGAATTTGACAAACCATAAAAAAATTTTTATCTTTGTCCAGGAAACTCAGGTAGTTAAATTCCACATGGAATCATCAGATATGTGCTTGGAAATTACCACATCATTGTTTTCTGGACTAAGATCTACTGTAGAATTTTTTGATGTTTTGTTTTAGAGACAGGGTCTCGCTCTGTCACCCAGCCTGGAGTACAGAGGCATGATCATGGCTCACTGCAACCTCAAACTCCTGGGCACAAGTGACCCTCCAACCTCAGCCTCCCAAGTAACTGAGACTACAGGCACACAACACCACACTCAGCTAATTTTTGTTAGTTTGCTTTTTTCGTAGAGACAGAGTTTTGCCCAGTCTGGTTTCAAACTCCTGGGTTCAAGTAATCCTCATGCCCCAGCTCCCAAAGTGCTGGGATTACAGGCATGAGCCATCATGCCCGGCCTTACTGTAGATATTTTTATATTTAGAAAGTAATTATAAAGCATGTATCATATTCTAGAATACATTTGCTAATGGGTATATTTCTTAAAATCCCACACTGAAATAAAAGTGAGTTACCAGGCTCTGAGGAGAACAGGAGTTGACGGCAGTGGAGCTGCCAGTCCCTGGTGCCATCTGATTGTTGTGTTGCGAATTTGTGAAGACAAGGGCTTGGCCAAAGCCCTGCTGTTGGGAAGTTTCAAAGGAGTTGGCTTCTGAGGCTTGACTGTGAGGAACAGGCTTCTGGAGCAAGGCTACCAGATCAATGCTAAGCAGACAAAAAGCAATGAGGAACCAGTCATAAGCAAATCTTACCAACAAATGAATGTGAGAAGTCAATCAATATATAGTGAATTTACATTAAAAATCAAATGAGGAGAACCTTTGGAAAATGGGGTTTAAGGGGGCAAAAGGAGGGCATCATCCACACAAAAGAACATACCAAGCCACAGAGACTGAAGCAGGGTTTTGCAGAGAAGAGAATCAAAAGGTGTATTGAGAAATTTTCAAAGTAATGACTAACACATTATAAACTGATTTGAAAACCTGGAGCAATAAAGTAAAATTAAACAATTTTCTCAAGTTTGGTTCATTTTACCTAGAATATTTTACCCATTTATTACCTAAAACCAGAGTTCCTAATAAATCCATATTTCTAGGGAATGAAGACCTCACCTGCAGTAAGCAATTCAATAAGTTTCACTTTTTTTTTTTTTCTAAGACAGTGTCTCACTCTCTTACCAAGGCTGGAATGCAGTGGTGTGACCCTGGCTCACTGCAACCTCTGCCTCCCAGGCTTAAGCGATTCTCGTGCCTCAGCCTCCCGAGTAGCTGGGATTACAGGCGTGTGCCACCATGCCCAGCTAATTTTTGTATTTTTAGTAGAGACAGGGTTTCACCATGTTGGACAGGCTGGTCTCAAACTCCTGCTCTCAAGTGAGCTGCCTGCTTTGGCCTCCCAAAGTGCTGGAATTACAGGCGTGAGCCACCCTACCTGGCCAAGTTTCATATTTATCTTAAATTTTTACATTCTATCCCATAATACATTTAAGTGTGTGTATATACACACACACACACACACACACACACACACACGCCCATATAATTTTATCTTTAAAATATTCAGGAATAAATGCACAGTATAATAACAAATATACTGTTAACCAGAACTCTTAAAACACCCCCCAGACAGATATTCCAATTTGGACTACCTGACAACAATGAGCTACAAACTTCCTGTACCAACTCTTTTCTAAACTTACCTAGTGTAGTAGGACCTGCCAGATGCACCGTATTACCTAACCTTGTAATGAATGCCATTGAATCCTTTCAAAGGCCAGTTCCCATCAGTTCTCCTAACTGACATTCTCACCATGCCAATAAGACAGGCAGATTACAGGACAATTCAAGACTCATTCCTGACACATGGCAAAGTTCCTAGCCTGAGTTCCTCTCCCTTATAGACTATAGCCAAGTTGAATTTCATGACAATGATCCCAGTAAATTCACTGAATCATAAATACAATAGAGAATATGTGCATTTAACAACAAACTCCAAACAATCTCAAAACAATATACTATAAGACATAATCATTAATCATTTTTATTTCCCTACAATGAAATCTCATCACCATCTCATTTAGCATGAGATTGATCCTGTTAGGTTCAAAACTGCCTTCATTTCTAAGGTATCATATGTAACCAGTCTTTTATCTTTCCAGATCACTACACTTTGAAACCACTTTCAAAGGTGTTTAGTGTGAAAACTAGAATATAAATAAATGCTCTTCAGTCATTTGTTTCAGTGTACATTCTAAGAATGTGGTTATCCCATAAGTTCCTTCCTTTTCTGTAATCTAGCAGAGTAAAACTAGTAGAACTCAAATAAAATAAGAGATCTGTATTAGTTTCAGAAGATCTAAATAAATGGTACATGAAGAAACCAAAGAATACAATGTATTAAGTTCATTCTGTCAAAAAAAAAAAAAAACAGGTCTACAAAAGTGAAAATAGCAACCATTAAAAAAGTTTAGGCCAGGCGCGGTGGCTCACACCTGTAATCCCAGCACTTTAGGAGGCCGAGGCTGGCGGATCACGAGGTCAGGATTTCGAGACCAGCCTAGCCAATATGGTGAAACCCCGTCTCCACTAAAAATACAAAAATTAGCCGGGCGTGGTGGCAGGCGCCTGTAGTCCCAGCTACTTGGGAGGCTGAGGCAGAAGAATCACTTGAACTCAGGACGGCGGGGGTTGCAGTGAGCCGAGATCGTGCCACTGCACTCCAGCCTAGGCGACAGAGTGAGACTCCGTCTCAAAAAAACAAAACAAAACAAAAAAAAGGGCCAGGTGTGGTGGCTCACATCTGTAATCCCAGCACTTTCGGAGGCTGAGGTGGGCGGATCACCTGAGGTTGGGAATTCGAGACCAGCCTGACCAACATGGAAAAACTGTCTCTACTAAAAATACAAAATTAGCTGGGCGTGGGGGCGCATGCCTGTAATCCCAGCTACCTGGGAGGCTTGAGGCAGGAGAATCACTTGAACCCGAGAGGCGGAGGTTGCAGTGAGCCGAGATAGCGCCACTGCACTCTAGCCTGGGCAACAAGAGCAAAACTACGTCTCAAAATAGAAAAAAAAAAAAAAAAAGTTTAACATGATGTCTGCAACAACTGCTAACAAATTCATCAGTGGATACATCAATTAGAAAATGATTGAAGCTCTGTCAGATTTACCAAGTAGTGGTAAAATAAAAGTTAGCCTTGGATAAAAAGGGAAAAAATAGAAAGAGACCCAAAAATGAAAATACTTTTCCTGAGGCAAAAGATTTCTGTAATGCTTTGAATAACAAATATAAGATGGCAAAAAGTATTTACCTTTGCCCAGGTAAGATGTGATTCTCTGCTGGAGCAGATGAGGCAGTGAAGACCTTTGTTTCAGAAAGCTGTATGGAAAGTTGAAAAATTTAATCTTATTCTACATACTACTAAACCCAAAACACTGACTTCCTGATCATTTGTAGTCATCAGTAGTCTCTTACACTTCGCATAACAGCTATTCTAAAGAAAATGAAATATACAAGTGACCATGACAAGTAATTTTCAAGTGAATGCAATTTTTTTTTTTTTTTTTTTGAGACAGGGTCTGGCGCTGTTGCCCAGGAAGGAGTGCAGTGACGTGATCTCGGCTCACTGCAATCTGTGCCTCCTGGGTTCAAGCGATCATCTCGCCTCAGCCTCCTGAGTAGCTGGGCCTCCAGGCACGCACCAGCATGCGCCACCACACCGAGCTAATTTTTGTATTTTTAGTAGAAACAGGGTTTTGCCATGTTGCCCAGGATAATCTCCAATTCCTGGCCTCAAGTGATGCACCCACCTTGACCTCCCAAAGTGTTGGGATTACAAGTATAAGCCATGGCGCCCGGCTGCAAGTGAAGGTAATTTTAGATTGAAAGGCCTACAAGAATGACTTCAAATCAGGAAAATGATGAGACTAATGGTAAACAACACAGTGAAACACTCAAACCAGGGCTCAACCGCAGACTCACTTCTCTATTTGTCATTACACAAAATGAGAATACCAATAAACCCACCAACAATGCTAACAGAAATGCCAAAAAGAAGTTGAGAAGGTGGCCAGGAATGGTGGCTCACACCTGAAAGCCCAACACTCTGGGCAGCCGAGGCAGGAGGATTGCTTGAGGCCAGAAGTAAGGCTTCATCTCTAGGAAAAAAAAAAAAATTGGCTGGTCGTGGTGGTGTGCACCTGTCCCAGCTACATGGGAGGCTGAGGCAGGAGAATCGCTTCAGTCCAGAGGTTGAGGCTGCCGTGAGCCATGATCACACCACTGCACTCCAGCCTAGGGGACAAAGTGAGATCCTGCCTCAAAAAAAAAAAAAGAAGAAGTCATTAAGAAGTTTGTAAAGGTGAAATAATCGATGTTTTCTCCCCCCAAAGACAGATGTCTTTAGTACTTAATTGATCAGTAATTTTACATTTCATTTTTATTAAACCATGAGTTTCTATTATTTTTAAAAAATTAATTTTATCACATTCTAACACATCCAATAAACCGCAAATATTCAAACCAAATAACTGAATAAGTCTGGCATACATAGGCCCCCATGAAACCATCACCACAATTAGGACGGTGAACATATTCTTTACTCCCCCACAATTTCCACCTGTCCCTGTGGAATCACTCAATCCCACAACTTGTCTGCATCCCCAGGCAACCACTCACATGCTTTCTGACACTACAGATTAGGCTGCATTTTCTAGAATTTTAAATGAAATCATAAAAGTATCCAAACCTTTATTCCTGGCTTCTTTCACTCAGCATAATTATTTTGGGATATATGCACACTGTTTTAACTCACTTTTAGGGCATTCAGGATAAATTTTTTGAAACCTCAACTGACATTAATAAAAGATACATATTCTTTTTATGTTTTCAATGTGGGGACTCGGCTTTGAAAGGCTGGAAAATGTTGATCTAATGAGGTAACACGGAAAACATAAAAATGCTACTCAAAATGTTCCCATAATTCTTATCAACTCTAAATGTCTCAGAAACACTGTATAAAACCAGACTTCCTGCATGACATACTATGTGTAAGCAGGAGGTAGAGGAGACAGTAGGTGTTCATTTTCTTCAACAATATAAAAGTGCTAAATTGTTTACCGGTTCAACAAGTCAACAAGAAGGGCCTAAGTTGCATCCTATTCCAAAACAGGGTGTGTGGGAAGGGTTTTTTTTTCTTTTTTGGGAGACAGACCTTAGTCTGTCACCCAGGCAAGAATGCAGTGACATGATCACTGAGGCTCACTGCAGCTACAAACTCAACCTCCCAGGCTCAAGCATTCCTCCCACCTCTACTTCCTAAGTAGCTGGGACTACAGGCACCTGCCATCACACACAGCTATTTTAAAAATTTTTTGTAGAGACAGGGCCTCCCTATGTTGCCCAGGCTGCACTTGATCTCTTGGGCTCAAGCGATCCTCCTGCCTCAGCCTCCCAAAGTGCTAGGGTTACAGGCATGAGCCACTGTGCCTGCCCCAAGGTAGTATATTTTAATATTCCCAGTGAATCCATTTTTGCCTGAAACTTACAAATTAAATCGATTTACGAAAAAGAGAAAAAATAAATGAGAACTACTATAAACATTGACATATCTAAACATGATAATAAAACACTGAATGGTTCCCCACCCCCTTTTTTTTTTGAGATGGAGTTTCATTCTTGCTGCCCAGGCTGGAGTGCAATGGTGTGATCTTGTCTCACTGCAAGTGCCTCCCGGGTTCAAGTGATTCTCCTGCCTCAGTCTCCCAAGTAATTGGAATTACAGGTGCCCACCATCCCACCTGGCTAATTTTTGTATTTTTAGTAGAGACACGGTTTCACCACGTTGGCCAGGCTTGTCTTGAACTCCTGACCTCAGGTGATCCGCCCACCGCAGCCTCCCAAAATGCTGGATTACAGGCATGAGCCACTGTGCCCGGCCTTTTTTTTTTTTTTTTTTAAAGGAAGGGCCAGGCATGACGGCACGCACCTGTAATCTCAACTACTTGGAGGCTGAGGCAAGAGGATCCCTTGAGCACAGGAGTTTGGGGCTGGAGTGAGCTGGCCAACAGTGCAAGACCTAGTCTCTAAAATTAAAAAAAGGCCGGGCGCAGTGGCTCATGCCTGTAATCCCAGACCTTTGAGAAGCCAAGTCGGACAGATCACCTGAGGTTAGGAATTCGAGACCAGCCTGGCCAACATGGTGAAACCCCGTCTCTACTAAAAATACAAACATTGGCCAGGCATGGTGGCGTGCATCTATAATTCCAGCTACTCAGGTGGCTGGGGCAGGAGAATCACTTGAACCCAGAGGCGGAGGCTGCAGTGAGCCAAGATCGTGCCTCTGCACTCCAGCCTGGTGACAGAGCGAGAGCAAGGCCCTGTCTCAAAAAAAAAAAAATTAAAGTACTTATTTTTTACAAGGTAAAATGAATCTATCTATGGTAGTGGGTTGTTCAAACACCACTTAAAACCCAAATAATACTGTGTGTGAAGGAGTAGTAAGACCCAAGGAACAACGCCCTGCCTAAGGTCATTAAACAAGTCAAGTAGAAATCATGTTTCTTGTTTCTCATTCAAAGCAGGTCCTGTTAGCATAAATGGAAACACATATGGAGACAGAGAAAAAGACAGAATCTCAAAGTGTGCGTCATTGTATATAGTTTTGAGGATCTGTATTTGTAACCCATTTATTATTTCCCTCTCAATGTCTGCTCAAACTCTGTGTCAGACAGATACCAAACTCAAGAGTTCTAGAACTTGACAGTCAAACAGAAAAGAGGTATAAAATTTTATGGTATTGGGTTATTTATCCCTTTTTTCTCTTTATTATTTAACTTATTTTTCCAAAAAAAATACTATGCTGAAAGCAGAACTTATAGACTGACAGTACCCAGAAGCTAGTGTAACATGCTCAAAAATATCTGTGCAATAAAGGAATTTTTTTTAAAAAAAGGTTCTTCTAGTCAAAAGGGGAAGAGGTTGGGCATGGAACCAGAGCAAACTTATTCAGGTTAATTTCAACTGTGATCCAAAATACAGACTCCCCTTTAATGAAAATATTCTAAAGAATAATAGTTCACAAATCTGGGCAACAGTGTCAGCTGGCTATCAGGTCAAACAAAACACAGATAAGCTTAAAAAAAAAATCAATCCTACTTAACACCTGGTAAATTTTGTTTGTTTGCTTTAAGATGGATTCTTGCTCTGTCACCCAGGCTAGAGGGCGGTCGAATGATAATGCAGCCTTGAACTCCTGGGCTCAAGAGATCCTCCTGCCTTAGCCTCCTGAGTAGCTGAGACTACAGATGCACAACCCCACACCCAGGTAATTTTTTTATTATTTTTTTTTTTGTAGAGACAGGGGTCTCACTTTGTTACTCAGGCAGTTCTCATATTCCTGGCTTCAAGTGATCCTCCTACCTTAGCTTCTCAGAGTGCTGTTGTGAGTCACTACGCCCAGCCTAACACCTCAACCTTTTTTCTTGTTTGTTTTTTTCCAATCTCCCAATCATCTTGACAATTGGTCATTTTTAAGCACAAAAACAAATATTCTTAAAAATCTGAAAATCTAAGTTCCTTTTAAGAAGCATCTGCTAAAAAAGCCAACCCTCAAAAACCCTGGCTACGATACATGCCAGAAAAGAAGCCAAGATGAGATAAGATGTCTCAGGCTCTTTCTTCCAAGCACCAAAGTCCCCACCAAACACCGAAAGAAAGACAGGTATCGGCCAGGCGCAGTGTCTCACGCCTATAATCCCAGCACTTTGGGAGGTTGAGGCGGGTGTATCACCTGAGGTCAGGAGTTTGAGACCACCCTGACCAAAATGGTGAAACATCGTCTCTACTAAAAAAAAAATACAAAATTAGCCAGGCATGGTGGCGCACATCTGTAATCCCAGCTATTTGGGAGGCTGAGGCAGAAGAACTGCTTGAATCTGGGAGGCAGAGGTTGCAATGAGCCAAGATCACGCCATTGCATTCCAGCCTGGGCAACAAAAGTGAAATTCCATTTCAAAAAAAAAAAAAAAGAAAGGTCTCATCTGACAGCAAACACTTACATCTTCAGTCCAGTCTTCTGTTGTCCACTCTTCCACAGAATTCTTCCAAGCCCCTGTTGGGAAACAACAGCAATCAAAGTTTATACCACAAAGTCAAATACAGTCTCAGTCCAAATGATTCCTTTTTGTGTACTATGCGGGGAAAAAAGATACATACGCCTCACTAGCAATTTAGTTTACAACCCAAGAAACATGACGTTCTTAATCTATTCTCGGTAAAATCAGTAATATTTCTTTTCTCCCCTTCTCTTTGAAATAATGTTTACAAATGCAACTTGACTAGTAGTCACTATCTACATAACCTCAAATCAGTGTTTCAAATGGATTTTGCTTCAATATAGGTCACATCCAAGCAATTCTGCCATGAGTAAGAAAAGTATGGATGTAGCACAAATATAGACATTTAACAATGGTTTGATTTCTTCCGATATAGTCTTCAAAACAACAAATTTCATTTTAAGGCAAATCTGTCTTGGACCCTATTTCAGGTGGATTACTGAATTATCAAATTTAGAGAAGCATCCTTTTAATAAAATATTAGCTCTACTACATGGCTTCCTAATAGGTCTCCAGCAAAGTTCAACATTACTCTTGCTCATATCAAGTCTGCTGCTTTAAGTTCTGGAGTCAGTACACAGGATGCGCTCAAACAGTTCTTACAGAATACTCATCCATAACACATCTAAGTACTTTCAAAAGTGTTGCTACTCAAAAAATACTTACTTACAGATCTTATATAAGTAGAGGGCCATTGTTTACAGCATGTATGAAAAAAATGCCCATAGATAATGGTTTTAAAGGAAATACACTAAGAAATTAACGACAACCCCAGAAAGAGGGATTATGGATGTTTTCAGTTCCTTCATAAGAAGAAAGGAGTTAATCATCTGACAAACAAAATTCCATTTCTCTCCAAAAGTTGTGTATGGAGAGGGAAGAGGAGGAGCATGCTTGTGAGACAAAAGAAGTCAGGTAACCATGTCTACCTTCCTTAGAATCACGTAAACAGCCAAATAACTGACCTCCTCATAAGTAAAATGATGATTGTTTCCTAGAAAAAGAGTCCTTATTTATGGAATGTTTTTAACAGGATGTACCTGATTTCAGATTGGGGTGGCTCTCTGTGAAATGTGATGTAAACTGTGCCAATATTTGGATGTAAAATACAGATGTTTCAAAACCGAAAACATTTAATTCTGTCTGAGAAACCACTAATACACTGGAAATTTGGAGGATGAAGTTAATGAAAGCCAGAATTGTAAGAGAAAGCTTGATGGCGAAGATAAACATACACACACAGGGATATAAAGGAAAATTTCCAGGAGAAAAACAATGATGAAACATTACAAAAACCTACATAAAAAATATTAAAGTACTCTAAAGCTTAAAATATACATTATTTTTTCTAATTTTTAAAATTGCACAGCTCAGCCACTATATGTACAGTTAATGTAGTAAGTTAAAACAGACTTTTATACATGATATGTAGTAAGAATGGCCTACCATGGCAATTCAGGAGACATATTAAAAGTTTAAAAAAGGCTGGGCATGGTGGCTCATGCCTGTAATCCCAGCACTTTGGGAGGCCGAGGTGGGTGGATCACGAGGTCAGGAGTTCAAGACCAGCCTGGTCAATATGATGAAACCCCGTCTCTACTAAAACTACAAAAATTAGCCAGGCGTGGTGGCGTGTGCCTGTAGTCCCAGCTACTGAGGAGGCTGAGGCAGGAGAATCGTTTGAACCCAGGAGGCGGAGGTTGCAGTGAGCTGAGATCATGCCACTGCTCCAGCCTGGGCAACAGAGCAAGACTCTATCTCAAAAATAAATAAATAAATAAATAAATAAATAAATAAATAATTAAAAAATAGGGCCTGGAGCAGTGGCTCATGCCTGTAATTGCAGCATTTCGGGAGGCAGAGATGAGTGGATCACCTGAGGTCAGGAGTTTCAGATCAGCCTGGCCAACATGGTGAAACCCCATCTCTACTAAAAATACAAAGAATTAGTCAGGAGTGGTGCCTCACACCTGTAAATCCCGGCTACTTGGGAGGCTGAGGCAGGAGAATTGCTTAAACCCAGGAGGTGGAGGTTGCAGTGAGCCGAGATCGCACCATTGCACTCCAGCCTGGGCAACAAGAGCAAAACTCCATCTCAAAAAAAATAAATAAAAATAATATAATAAAAATAAAAAAGACTGGCCTACCACTTTGAGAGCAGTATTTTGAAAATAATTAAACACAACTTTGGACTTGCATAATAGGGTGAGAATCTGAGTACATTTAAAAGCAAGTACAAGGCACTATGTATGTAGCCTGAAGGAAAAACAGCGAAACAGATAGTTATAAGCAGAGATGCAACATGATAGAGTGGTAAGTCAGGAAATTACAGGGGAAACTCCCATGTGAGAAGCAAGTGCCACGTTGTTGCAGGAACTAGCCATACCCACACAGACTATAAAAAATTCCAGACATTAAATACAGAAGGCAAAGGCTCAGGTCCTAATCATATTTTGGAATATTAAAATTTTAATTTGGTCATTAGACCTACACCACAAAATATAACGGAAAAACTTCAACAATCCTTATTTTCAGCTTAAAACAATATATTGGAGATGAATGTTTTATGTTCAATTTAACTTGGTGTTAGTCCTCTAACGAATGTATGTTAAGGCCACTTAGGAACATGGAAAATAATGATGAAAATTCTGTGGCACCTTGAAAGTCAATCAATAAAACATTTCCATTAGCAAACTGCAAATCTGATTACCAAATAAATAGGTATAGTTTACAAACATTTATCTGATAAATTTTTATTAGCTAGCTTTGATAAAAAATGAAAGATATTGCAAGCAATTTATAAGATTCTTAATTTTAAAAATTAAAAAATTAAGTATTCATACCTTTGAGTCCATAAGAACTTTTGTTTGACAGATCCTGAGCTATGTTGTGAGTATTTGATGCCAGTTCTGTGGACCAATGTAAAATTGAGGGTTTAAACATATGAAAAGAATGAAAGTATTCATCACAGAGAAGATGGTCACTGTCAAAGCTATGTATATGCTGCGTTACTGCCCAAGGATAGTGAAATGTAATTGAAATCCATACTCTTACAGGTCACTGCAAATCAAGTTATGAATCTTATCCTTGATGGCTCTTGGACACTCAAATCACTTCAATTATTCTCATTCTCACGCCCATGTTTACCAAGCTCCCTTCTCACTCATCAAAGAGAGTATTCTAATCTGTTCAACAGGTACCAGTTTTTAGAAAATTTATAAATTAGCCTTCTGAGTATACACAAGTCTTTCTAGTTTGGTTAATTTGAGGGTCCCTCATATCAGGAATAGATTTGTGGTTATTATACTGTCAACAGTTGGGTTTCTGAGCCTATAAGGCTGAGTCCTGGACTCATAACTCTCTTATCAACAAGCCAATACCATTCTGTGAGGCCTCTGGAAAAACAGCCAGCACCATCAGCTGACATCCTTTAACTGTATTCTACAACAAATTGGTTTTGCTTATCTAAATGCTTTTCAGCAAGAAATCTGCTACTTTAAATAATAAGTGGGAGGAGATGAAAGAAAAGAGAGAGGAGGAAAGAGAAAATTTTAAAAAAAGTAACTAATTGACTAATTCAACATTCTGCTTCAACACTTGCACAACATTCGGCTTCAAAGCCATGGAAGCCAGCACAGCTTCCACACACAGTTCTTCCACACTGTGTGGAAGCTGTGCACAGTGGTGCAGGGCTGTAGTCCCAGCTACACAGGAAGGTGATGCAGGAGGATCACTTGAGCCCAGGAGTTTGAGGTTGTAGTGCACTAAGATTACGCCTGTGAATACCAACTACACTCCAGCCTGGACAACAAATTGAGACCCCCATCTCTTAAAAAAAAAAGAAGCAAGAAAAAAAAACATCAGTGGAGGTATTAATAAAAGCACTATAATATCACATACAGATTTTTGTTTGGATGTGTTTTCATTCCACTTTTATAAAAATCTAAGAATGGGATTGTCAGATTGTATGATAGGTATGCTTTCCCACCAGGCATGTATATGAGTACCTGTTATTCCACAATCCTCACCAGCACTTGGAATTTTTCATTTCCTTTAAAGCCATTTTAATAGGTGAATGGGGGTAACTCAATGTGGCTTTACTTTGTATTTCTCCAATGACTAATAATGATGAGCACACTCACGGATTTGTTTGCTATCCATTTATCATGTTCCCTTATAAATGCAAATATTTTGCTTTTAATTAACTTTTTATCTTAAAATAATTATAGAGTCACAGGAATTATCCTTCACCAGTCTCCGTGTTAAAACAGAAAATTTACCATTTCTGACCCTCTCCAAGTGTACAATTTAGTGGCACAGAGTATATTCACAATGTTGTACAATCATTACTATCCATTTCTAGAACTTCTTCCATTTTTTCCCCCCATTTTTAATTGCTCATTTGTTTTAGGGGGTTGTTTTCTTATTACTGAATTGTGAGAGTTCTTTATTTATTTTGTATATAAGTCCTTATCAAATATGGATTTTATATAAACATTTTCTCCAAGACTACGTCTCATTCTATCATTTCATTTTTCTCTTCAGAAGAATTTTACAATTTTTGATAAAATGTACTTTGTCAATTTTCTCTTTTATGACTCAGGCTTATCGGATTCTATATAAGAGATCTTTGCCTAACCTAAAATCACTAGGATTTGCCACTATATCTTCTTTGTAAGTTGTACTTTCAGGTTTCATGTTTAAGTGTAACCTTGGAGGGTAATTTTTGTATACAGTATAATGTATGGCATTGAATTGCCTCATAATCTTTGACAAAAAACAATTAGCCATATGTATATGTGTTTATTTCTAAACTACTATGCTATTGATTTATGTGTCTTGCTTACTGCAGTGTTAGAGCAGTTCTTAAAATCAGGGAGTGTGGGCCGGGTGCGGTGGCTCACACCTGTAATCCCAGCACTCTGAGAGGCCGAGGCGGGTAGATCACAAGGTCAGGAGATGGAGACCATCCTGGCTAACACAGTGAAGCCCCGTCTCTACTAAAAATACAAAAAAATTAGCCAGGTGTGGTGGCGGGTGCCTGTAGTCCCAGGCACTTGGGGAGGCTGAGGCAGGAGAATGGCGTGAACCCGGGAGGCAGAGCCTGCAGTGAGCAGAGATCGTGCCACTGCGCTCCAGCCTGACTGACGAAGCGAGACTCCATCTCAAAAAAATAAAAAATCAGGGAGTGTGGGTCTTAGAACTTTTTTTTCCTTTTCAAAATTGTTTAGGCTACTTTAGTTCCTTTAATATTATATAAAAATTTTAGAGTCAAGTTGTCAAGGCCAGGCACAATAGCTCACACCTGTAATCTCACCACTTTGGGAGGCTGAGGTGGGCAGATCACTTGAGGTCAAGAGTTCAATACTTACCTGCCCAACATGGTGAAACCCTGTCTCTACTAAAACTACAAAAAAAAAAAAAAAATTAGCTGGGCATGGTGGTGCACACCTGTAATCCTAGCTACTCGGGAGGCTGAGGTAAGAGATCACTCACCCAGGAGATGGAGGTTGCAGTGAGTTGAGATCGCAACACTGCACTCCAGCCTGTGTGACAGAGTGAGACTCCATCTCGAAAAAAAATAAAATAAAAAAAAGAATCAAGTTGTCAAAAATCTGCTAAGATTTTGATTGGAATTGTGCTGAAGCTATCGATCAATTTGGAGAGAAATGACATTTCAAAGATATTGAGTCTTCTAATTCATGAACACTGAATATGTTCCCTTTTATGAGGGTCTTCTTTGATCTTTCCCAACATGTTGCATAATATTAACATACAAATCTTGCATATACGTAGTCAGAAATAACTATTTCTTGTTTTTTTGGTACTACTAAAAAAAGTACTGTTTTTCTTATTCTTTGTTTGCAATTGTTCACTGCTAGTAAAGAAGTACCATAATTATATTTTAATGATGGTTATAATTCTATATGCATTTGTTAGAATTCATCCTCTGTACCTCTAAAAAGGGGAGAATATATGTGTATACATATAAAAACTACATCAACAAATCTAATTTTTTTTAAAAATCAGTGGGGAAAATTTACATGAGACGGACCACCGTGAATTAATAAATTCAAAGACTGAGTCAGTAAAAACTAAATGTCACAACAGTGGGACTAAAATATATTAAAGTGGTATATCCCTCTATTTATTGTCTTCTTTATTTTCTCTCAATATTGTTTTATATTTTTTCTAATCTTACATATCTTACATATCATTAGACTTATTCCTAGGCATCTGGTGTTTTCTGAAGCTATTAGCAATTTTTTTCCATTTTCTGTTTGTTGATGATTTATAGAAATACATGCCTTCATGAAACTTGTGTCTTGCATCTTGTGCTTGTGAAACTCTCCAATAATTTGTCTACAGATTCTTTTACACAATCACAAAAAACAACGGTTTATTCTCCCTTTCCAATCCTTATGACTTACTTATTTTTTCTTTATTGCACTGGCTAGGACCTCCAGTACAGTGTGAATGGAAGCAGTGACCGCATGTGTTTTTATCTTGTTCCAGAGGAAAACCATTCAATATATCACCATTGACTGTAACACCTGCTGAAAGTTTACAGATATTCCTTATCTGATTAAGGAAATTCCTTGTATTCCTAACTGCCAGGATTTTGTTTGTTTTTAATTAGAAAAATTATTTATTTCTGCTCCTTTCATAGATCTTATTGTTCAGGAAACAGTCATACATACGTATCTGAAATAATGTATTATCACACTCCCTATTAAAAGGCAAAGCACCACAGGTAAAGCTGATCAGCCATCTAGAATTCTCAATTTATGGAATCTTGCTTCCAGATTTTATATTAATTTCTGAAAATCAGAAATGTCATCTCCAAAAACAAGTTAAAGGGGCTGTAAAAAATAATCACTTTATTCAATATTATATTTGTAAACTGGAGTATATTTTCTTTAAAAAATGAAAAACTAAGAAGAAAATGTCACTCAACATCATTGATGTCAATAGGTCAGCAGGAGAAAAAATACTGTGATAAACTTGTCTCTTTGATACCAAGAAGAAATTTTACTCCAAGCTACACTTCCAGTGTTTTCACTACATATTTCTTTACTGCTGCTCTTCATTCTTTTCCACATTTCACAACAGTGGATTGGTACAGCCTTTAAAACTTCATTGACAGGAACAAATCCAGTATCCATTGATTTCTTCTCAAAAGGCACTCTAACTTATCAGATTGCCCGGCAGTTACATTCTCATGAATACTCTAGCCATAAAAAAACTCAACAGGACACAGACAAATCCAATGAATAGAAGAAGAAATCTACTGGGTTTTGGGATATTTGGTGCATTCGATTGGTACAGGATTATGAAACCTAAACCCTCCATTGTAAACAGGAAGCTGGATGCAAGTCCTTCCATAATATACTGTCCATTTACTCTGTACACCAAGAAAGCTACTGGCCTCTGATGCCCATGTTCATCGGTCACAGAGCCAACACTTTGAGGTTCAACAATAACATCATAAATTATTCCTCTGGTGATGAGGAAGCAAGACACCACCACCAGGGCATACATAGTCATGGCCGAGGGCATGTGCAGCCTGGTCGGCTTCTTCAGCTTCAGGTTGGGACATTTGAGCACTAATGGGACGCGGTACAAAGTCTCCATGTTGGTGGAATCAAGGGCCATTATCAGGCTCAAATCCCACGTGCCACTCAGAAACACTGTTTGTTTTAATCATGAACGAATATTGAACACTTTTCCTTACTGAAATAATCATACGGATTTTTCTCCTTAATTTTGTTAAATGGATAATACTAATTTCTATATTTTTATATACAATACACATAACATGAAATCTATCCTTTTACAACAGACAGTTGAATAATTTTTAGTATATTCACAATTTGTGCAATCATCACCTCTAATTCTAGAACATTTTCATCACTCCAAAAACAAACTCCATACTCATTTGTAGTCACTCACCACTTTTCCCAAATAGTTCTATCTCTAGGCAACCACCAAGCTAATTTCTGTCCCTATAAATTTGCCTTAGACATTTCAGATAAATAAAATCATAAAATACAATATATGTGGTCTTTCTGTGACTCTGCATACTATTTTCAAGGTTCATCCATGTTGTAGCATGTACCTTAATTCCTTTTTATGGCTGAACATTATTCCATTCTATGTATATTCTATATTTTGCTTATACATTCATCCATTGATAAACATTTGAGGTTTTTTCCCCCCAGACAGACCTGTTCAACAGGAAGTATGGGTTGTTTCTACTTTTTTATAATGATGAATTATGTTGCTATCAATCTTTTTGTACAAGATTTTATGTGAACCTATATTTTCCTTTCTTTTGGGTATGCATCTAGGAGTTGATTTGACTTGTTTTTTAAAAGTTAAACAAACTAAGCTGGGCATGGTGGCTCATGTCAATAATCCTAGCACTGGCTGGGTGGGAGGATCTTTGAAGCCAGGAGTTTAAGACCAGCTTCCACAACAATGCAAAATCTTATCTCTACAAAAAACTTTAAAATTCACCCAGTGCAGTGGTGTGTGCCATAGTTCCAGCAGTAAGTACTAGGGAGATTAAGGTGGGATGGCTTGAACCCAATGGTTCAAGGCTACAGTGAGCTATGATCACACTACTGCACTCCAGCCTGGACAACAGAGTGAGATGCTCTCTCTTTAAAAAAAAAAAAAGAAAGAAAGAAAGAAAAGAAGGTGGGGCACGGTGGCTTACGCCTATAATCCCATCACTTTGGGAGGCCAAGGTGAGTGGATCATTTGAGGTCAGGAGTTCAAGACCAGCCTGGCCAACATGGTGAAACCCTGCCACTAAAAATACGAAAAAGTTAGCCAGGCATAGTGCCGGACACCTGTAATTCCAGCTACTCAGGACACTGAAGCAAGAGAATCGCTTGAACCTGGGAGGTGGAGGTTGCAGTGAGCCAAGATCGTGCCATTGCACTCCAGCCTGGGTGACAGAGACCCCACCTCAAACACCCCCCCACCCCCAAAAAAAACCAGTTAAGCAAACTTAAATACCGTGTATAATTCTTTTTTTTTTTTTTTTTTTTTTTTTTGAGACAGAGTCCCACTCTGTCACCCAGGCTAAAGTGCAGTGGCACGATCTCAGCTCACTGCAACCTATGCTTCCTAGGTTCAAGTGATCCTCCCACCTCAGCATCCCAAGTAGCTGAGACCACAGGCATATGATACTATGCCCGGCTAACTTTTTAATTTTTTTTTTGCAGAGACGGAGTTTCACCATGTTGCCCAGGCTGGTCTCAAACTCCTGAGCTCAAGCTGAGTTATCTTATAATCTCCTAATATCTATATGATCCATATCAATATTCCTTTTCTCCTTCCTGGAACCAATTATTCACGTTCTCACCTTCCCTTGATGATCTCATAAGAAGCTTAACGATTTTACTAGTGTTTTCAAATAACAACTTATAAATTTTGTTGACCCTCTTTACAGTTTCTCTATTTACAGTTGGTTAGTCGTGCTTCTGGTGGTACTCTCTTATTTTTTGGCTAGGGTTGATGTTATATGGATGTTTGTGTGCATTATTTTTTTTTTTCAGGCACGCCTTGCTCTGTTGCCCAGGTTGGAGTGCAGTGGCAAAATCATAGCTCACTGCATCCTCAACCTGCCAGGCTCAAGTGACACTCCCCACTTCAGCCTCCCAAGCAGCTGGGACCACAGGTGCACACCACCATGCCATGCTAATTTTTTAAGTTTTCTTAGTATAGATGAGGTCTTACTATGTTAACCAGGCTCGTCTCAAACTCTGGCTCAAGTGATCCTCCCGCCTTGGCCACCTAAATGCTGAGACTACAGGCATGAACCACTGCACCTGGCCTTGATAATTTATTGAGCTATATTCTAAGTCTAGGTTATAATTCATTGTGTTAAATTATGTTTCTGTTTTTCGTTTTTGTTGTCATTGTTTGAGATGAAGTCTCGCTCTGTTGCCCAGGCTGGAGTGCAATGGCACGATCTCGGCTCATTGCAACCTCCACCTCCTGGGTTCAAGCGATTCTCCTGTCTCAGCCTCCCGAGTAGCTGGGATTACAGGCATGTGCCACCATGCCCGGCTAATTTTTTGTATTTTTGTAGAGACAGGGTTTCACCATGTTGGCCAGGCTGGTCTCGAACTCCTGACCTCAAGTGATCCATCTGCCTCGGCCTCCCAAAGTGCTGGGATTACAGGTGTGAGCCACCGCGCCCAGCTAAATTATGTTTCTATAAGTATAATCTCAATAATTACTGTACAAAGAACTCTATATAAATAACCAATATTTACCCCAAGAATTTCAGAAAATAAATAATCCAGAAACAGCATGATACAGAAAAACCTGCAGAGGCAACGTTGCTACAAACCCATCTATCATCTACCACATTATCATACATTATCTGGCCAAAGAATCCACCATTAGAAATGGGAAGTACTTCCAGTAAAAAATCTTCTCCTCAGAAATTCTATATATCTGTGACATACTTTGATCAGAGTGTGGGTTTGTGCTGATTTATGCCAATTACCTTATATAGCCTCTTTCTTAGCTTGCAGAAGGGAAAATCAAATTCCTTGTCATCATGAGATTTGTATGTGACAGACTTTGGGTGGTAAGAACCAACTAAGAATAGTTTCAGAGGTAGGACAGTAGCCTGTTTTTCATTCTTTTCCATCAGCACATTTAGACTTCATCTTTGTATGAGAACATACAACTCTTAATAGCTCAAACATTTAAAACTCATCTCTGGCAAAAACAGAACACTTACCAGTTCCCTCATCTGCACCATTCTGAGCAGCTTCCCAAACTACTAGCTTTGTCCCACACACATCTGTAGATGTAGAATCTGAATAGTCTGCAGGATTAAATGTCCTGGGGTTTGAAATAAAGAAATAATAAAGGCAAAAGAAGCAAACACCTAAGCCAAAATATTAACCATACATGATCTTCCACCAAACAAGCCCAGTGCCTTCTCACAGCCACTGTAAAAGACATCACCTCTCCTTCCCCTATTTAAATATAACTAATTCTGCCAGCCATGGAGATGCAGATGTGAAAACCAGAAGTTGCCTAGGGACCTTCCACACATTCTGGTATAATAGCCTTATTTTCCTGAAACACGGTCCTCTGCATCCTAAAGCAGACAAGGAGACGTATAATCTTTCAAGGCAGAATAAGAGCTCTTATGAGAGTCCTGCTGAAAAATAAGGCATAAATAGGCAACAGGTATTTTCTTCCCAAGTCAGAATCCAAGTTTGGCTTTTACAGCTTAGATTTATATGCTCCTTTACAGAAACATTAGATAAAGAAGAAAACATTTTGTTCAGCACCTCTATTTCTTTTCAATAAAATCCTAAACTGAACACCCAGTTTAATCGAATCATGGTTCAGAGGTCTAACATGAGCCAAAACAAATATTACCTTTAAAATTTTCACAAAGGAATGTGAAGTAAACAGAAAAATCCACAAAACAATTTAAAGCTAATGAGCAGGGCTATGTCTTAAAGTGCTCCTGAGAGTTTGCTCCCTGTGTTTTCATCCCTCCTTTTCCTCAAAGGAGCTTAGGCAGAAGGCAGATTGCATGAGGCACCACTACTTCTAGAAGGCATTAACACCAAGAGTGCTGCCTGAAGTTAGAGAGAGACAAAGGGCTTTTCTTGGAGCCAATTCCTTTCCTTGACTGCATCTACGTATGGCTTCCACAGGATGTTTTAAAACTCTTCCTAAAAATCCAATGGGAGCTAATGTTTTAGAAGCAACAAAAAGTAAAAAAACACCCAGAAACAAGAAATAAACCTCTGATTTTAGTGCCTTTGAGTCTGTTCAATGTTTACTATTTCAATTCAGGAAAAAGGTATCACTCATACATAAATAAGCATTACATTTACTTAGCATTCAAAGACAATGGCTGGATTAACTAAAATGGCTCTTAGGCAGTGCCATTTAGGTACGTCTATAGGTATTTTGTCACAACTTCAGGCGAAGTGCTACTGACATTTATTAATAGTACAGAGAAGAGAGATGTTGCTAAGCAACCTACAATATACAGGAGATCCTACCACCCCATGGAAGTATTATCCAATACACAATCTCAATAATGCCAAGGCTAGAAACCCTGCTCTAATGCCTGTTTAAAAGATCAATTTTATTCATATTATTTTTCTTATTTGTAAATCTCTTTAAGTATAGAAAACACTAGATTCACCATGATGACTAAATTAGATGTAGGGTATTAGAAGCAACTGCAGAATAAAAACTAGGGAAGTAAATAATTATAAAAATAGGATGGCTATCACTTACCCCATGCCTTGGGTTGAGAACCTTCCTGCCCCTCTCCCTCTGCCACGTCCAAATCCTTTAAAAAAACACACAATTATAGTATAAAATAATACTTATGTCCTACACAATTACACTTCCTTCTTCATCCTATACTCACTACCCAGACAATATTATCATTATTCCTAGTAGCACCAACATTCCAATCCAGGGCACCCAATTAACTGATCCCTGCTGATACAACTACCTATACCCAGTTAGTGACTTCTAAGGCTAGAAAAGAATTAAATTATCCTTGTATTATATTTGTGGTATTTGACAGCTAAACACAGGGAGGTTGTATTATAAAACAGTCTGCATCTTTTAAAATCAGAAAGAGCTAACACCATGGAATTATAAGCCACTACTATAAATGAAATGAGAACCAGAAAGAGGAAAATGCAAAGTAAGCTGAAGGCACTGTTAAGTATCATTTTAAATACTAGTCTGTGATCAAAGATCAAAATGGCAGCAAGCATGAGAACAAGCAAGCAAGAAGAGAAAATTATGACTAGCACCTTTCCACATTCTCTTCATTAAAATCCTAAACTGAAGAGCAAAGGCCTAAATTTAAGAGCTAAAACTATAAAACTCTCAGAGAAAAACACAAAGCAAAAGCTTGACAACACTGGATTTAGCAATGATTTCTTGAGTATGACACTAAAACTACAGGCAAAAAAAGAAAAAATAGACAAAATGGACTTTATGAAAATTAAAAACTTTTCTGGGACAGGCATGGTGGCTCACACCTATAATCTCAACAATTTGGGAGGCTGAGGTGGAAGGGTGGCTTGAGCCAGGAGTTCAAGACCAGCCTGGGCAACATAGGGAGACTCCCTCTCTACAAAACTATTTTTATGGGCATGTGCCTCTAACTTAGCTACCTGACAGGCTGAAGCAGGAGGATCCATGAGCCCAGGAGTTGGAGGTTGCAGTGAGGTATGATCAAACCACTGTATGCAAGCCTGGGTGACATAGCAAGACTCTGTCTCAACAACAACAACAAAATCTGTAACAAAACACATATTGGCTAGGCACGGTGGCTCATGCCTGGAATCCCAGCACTTTGGAACACCGAGGCAGTTGGACTGCTTCAGCTCAGGAGTTCAAGACCAGCTTGGGCAAATGGCAAAACCTTGTCTCTACAAAAAATACAAATATTAATGGGGCATAGTGGTACATGCCTGTAGTCCCAACTACTCGGAAGGCTGAAGTCGAAGGATTGCTTCAGCCTGCGAAGTTGAGGCTGCAGTGAGCTGAGATTGCACCACTGTACTCTAGTCAGTGTGACAGAGTGAGACCATTTCTCAAAAACAAACAAAAAAACACCACGGTACCAACAGAGTAAAAAGGCAACCCAAAGAATGGAAGAAAATATTTATAAATTATATATCTGATCACAGAGTAACATCTGGAACACACAAAGAACTCCTAAAACTCGACAACAAAATACTCCATTCAAAATGGGCAACGGCCAGGCCCGGTGGCTCATGCCTGTAATCCCAGCACTTTCAGAGGCCAAGGCAGGCGGATCACCTGAGGTCAGGAGTTCAAAACCAACCTGGCCAACGTGGCAAAACCCCATCTCTAATAAAAATACAAAAATTAGGCGCATGCCTGTAGTCCCAGGTACTCGGGAGGCTGAGGCAGGAGAATCGCTTGAACCCAGGGGGCGGAGGCTACAGTTCCTAACTTGCGTCACTGTTCTCCAGCCTGGTTAACAGCGTGAGACTAAAAAAAAAGGGGGGGGTGCGGGGGGGCGGGCAATGGACTTGAATATGGATTTCTCCAAAGAAGATATACAAATGACCAATAAACACATTAAAAGATACTCAGTATTGCTGATCATTAGGGAAATCCAAATCAAAACCACAATAAAATACAATCCCATATTCATTCGGATGACTACTACCAAAATTAAAGTAAAAAAACAGAAAATAACAAGTGTTGGCGGCCGGGCGTGGTGGCTCACGCCTGTAATCCCAGCACTTTGGGAGGCCGAGGCAGGCAGATCACGAGGTCAGGAGTTCAAGACCAGCCTGGCCAATATGGTGAAACCCCGTCTTTATTAAAAAAATGCAAAAATTAGCCAGGCGTGGTGGCGCGCGCCAGTAGTCTCAGCTACCTGGGAGGCTGAGGCAGGAGAAATGCTGGAACCCGGGAGGCAGAGGTTGCAGTGAGCTGAGATCGTGCCACTGCACTCCAGCCTGGGTGACAGAGTGAGGCTCTATCTTTAAAAAAAAAAAACAAAAAAAAAACCAAGTGTTGACAAAGATGTGGAGCACACCATTGTGCACTGCTGGTAAAAACGTAAAATGGGGCCAGGTGCAGCGGCTCATGCCTGTAATCCCAGCACTTTGGGAGGCCGAGACGGACGGATCACAAGGTCAGGAGATCGAGACCATCCTGGCTAACACGGTGAAACCTCATCTCTACTAAAAATACAAAAAAAAGAAAAATTAGCCAGGCGTAGTGGCAGGCGCCTGTAGTCCCAGCTACTCGGGAGGCTGAGGCAGAATGGCGTGAACCCGGAGGCGGAGCTTGCAGTGAGCCGAGATCACAACACTGCACTCCAGCCTGGACAACTGAACAAGACTCCGTCTCAAAAAAAAAAAAAAAAAAGTAAAATGGTACAGCTACTATGGGTAACAGTATGGCAGTTCCTCAAAAAATACAATGATTGACCATATGATCATGAAATTGTGCTTGTGGGTATATGTTTATACAACAAATTGAGGCCTGACATGGTGGCTCACACCTGTAATCCCAGCACTTTTGGAGGCCAAGGCAGGAGGATCGCTTGAGGCCAGGAGTTCAAAACCAGCCTGGGCAACAAAGCGAGATGCCACCTCTACAATAAATTTTTTTAATAAATGTTTTTTTAAGAAGGCAAAAGTAAGACTTCACACAGAGGTATTACTGTGACTTACAAGAATGTTAAGAAATTCAGCTAATTAGCTCTAAGAAGAAAACTTTCAGTCTATAGCTTTTGGCAAGAATACAGGCCAAAATTAAACAAGCTACAAAACAAGGAAACTATTCTCAGGACTTAAAACCTTGAACTGAAAAAAAAATGCAGTATATTCATACAACATTATATTATATTGCCATAAAAAGGAATGAAGTACTGATACATACTACAACATGGATGAATGTTTAAAACATTAAGTTAATCCCTTCAGGGTAAAGGCGATGGGGAACCCAAAACATTATCTAAGAGAAAGAAGCAGTTACAAAAGACCACATATTATACAATTCCATTTACAGGAAATGTCCAGAACACAAAAACCTACAGAAACAGAAAGGCGATTACTGGTGCTCAGGGTTGAGGTGGAAGAATGAAAGAATTGGTGAAATGATAAAGGGTAAGGTATACTTCTGCGGTGTGGAAAATGTTCTAAAATTGATTGTGGTGATGATTGCACAACTTGGTGAATATACTAAAAACCATTCAATTGTACACTAAATGGATGAAATGTATGGTATGTAAATTTTGTAAAGAATATTTTCTTTCTTAGGCTGGGAGCAGTGGCTCGTGGCTGTAATCCTAGCACTTTGGGAGGCTGAGGCAGGTGGATTACTTGAGGTCATCAGTTCAAGACCAGCCTGGCCAACATGGTGAAATCCCATCTCTACTAAAAAAAATGTATATATATATACAAAAATTAGCCAGACATGGTGGCGCATGCCTGTAATGCCAGCTATTAGGGAGGCTGAGGCAGGAGAATTGCTTGAACCTGGGAGGCAGCAGTCGCAGTGAGCCGAGATGGCGCCACTGCACTCCAGCCTGGGTGACAAAGTAAGACTCGGTCTTGGAAAAAACAAAAACAGTTGTTTTTTATTTATTTTTTTTTTTTTTGAGACAGAGTCTCACCCTGTAGCCCAGGCTGGAGTGCAGTGGCGCCACCTCGGCTCACTGCAACCTCCACCTCCCAGGTTCAGGCAATTCTCCCGCCTCAGCCTCCTGAGTAGCTGGGATTACAGGTGCCTGCCACCACGCCTGGCTGATTTTTGTATTTTTATTAGAGACGGGGTTTCACCATTTTGGCCAGGCTGGTCTCAAACTCCTGACCTCGTGATCCGCCCGCCTTAGCCTCCCAAAGTGCTGGGATTACAGGCGTGAACCACCGCGCCCAGCCAAACAAAAAATTTTTAAAAATTAAAAAATCTAATCCATCGTCCCCATAAATTCTAGCAAGATAATAGAATTATTGTTTCCTACTCACCTGGTAGTAACGCTACTAGTAACATTGGTTTCTGTGTATATACCATTTCCCTGCATTGTTATCTGGAATGAACAGATTAATCTAGCAGCTCAGAATAAAGATCCAGAGTCTTTTAATCACAAAAACCAAGTCCAACGTTTCCAAAGATTATCAAAGCGAATAAACCATATTATGGTAAATGCTGTACCTTTCCTCCTCAAGCCCTGGGACTCTACTACATCTCTGTTGAATGATTGTTCAAGGTTTTTTTATTTTTTGAGACAGAGTTTTGCTCTGTCACCCAGGCTGGAGTGCAGTGGCGTAATCTTGGCTCACCACAACCTCAGCCTCCCAGGTTCGAATGATTCTTGTGCCTCAGTCTCCCGAGCGGCTGGGATTACAGGTGTGCATCACCATGCCTGGATAATTTTTTTGTATTTTTAGTAGAGACAGGGTTTCACTGTGTTAGCCAGGATGGTCTCAATCTCTGTAGTCCCAGCTTCTCGGGAGGCTGAGGCAGGAGAATCCCTTGAACCCGGGAGGCAGAGGTTGCAGTGAGCCAAGATCGCACCACTGCACTCCAGCCTGGGCGACAGAGCGAGACTCTGTCTTTTAAAAAAAAAAAAAAAAAAAAGACTGATCTGTAATCCCAACTTCATAAATATGGAGTCTTTCATGGATTAAACTCTCATGTATAGAGGCACAATAATGGCATTATATAATTACAGGAAATAACCTATCTGTTCAGTAACTGATTTGAGAATCAGCATTTTATTAAATGCTATGTGGAACAAGGACTCAGCAAGACTCCCAAAGAAGGTACTACAGAGGATTCGAAATTTAAACGTAAGCTGGGTCTGGTGGCTCATGTCTGTAATCCCAGCACCTTGGTAGGTCAAGATGGGAGGATCACTTGAGCCACAGTAGTTTGAGATCACCCTGGGCAACAGAGCAAGAGCCCCTTCTCTACCTTAAAAAAAAAATTTTTAAGTAGAATGTTAAAACATAGTAGGTGCTCAAAATTACTTTGCACTTGTACTATATAGACCGTATTCATGCAATAATTAGTTTTAAAAGTAGAGGAACTAGGCCGGGTGCAGTGGCTCACACCTGTAATCCTAGCACTTTACGAGGCCAAGGCAGGCGGATCACGAGATCAGGAGATCAGGAGATCAAGACCATCCTGGCTAACACAGTGAAACCCCATCTCTACTAAAAATACAAAAAATTAGCCCGATGTGCTGGCGGGTGCCTATAGTCCCAACTATTCGGGAGGCTGAGGCAGGAGAATGGCGTGAACCCAGGAGGGGGAGCGTGCAATGAGCCGAGATTGTGCCACTGCACTCCAGCCTAGGTAACAGAGCAAGACTACGTCTCAAAAAAAAGAAAGAAAGAAAGAAAAAGTAGAGGAACTAATCTGAGTCACTAAATACAAAACAGTAAGGTAAAGCAGTGAGAAAGGTTAGGGAGTAAACTATTGTTGCCTTTTTTGCATTATTTTTCTTCCATCCAGAAGGAAACCAACCCCTGTAACTTCAAGTGTAATTCATTACCAGCCAAAGCAGTGGCTTGTGCCTGTAATCCCTCTGCTTTAGGAGGCCAAGGGAGGAGGACTGCTTGGAGCCAGGAGTTCAAGACCAGCCTGGGCAACACACAGAGACCTGCCTACAATGCTTTTGAAAATTAGCTGGGCATTGTGATGTGCACCTGCAGTCCTATCTACTCAGGAAGCTAAGGCAGCAGGAGTATTGCTTGAACGTAAGAGTTGGAGGTTGCAGTGAGCTATGATCATGCCACTGTACTCCAGGATGGGTAACAGAGTGAGACCCTGTCTCTAAAAAAAGAAACTATAGTTCACTACCTTACTTGACTCAATCTCACCAAAAGACCAAAATAATACATATAAGCTGATAAACCATTTATGAATACACAAGATAAAGAAACATACAAAAGAAGAGTAATTTAAATACACATTTAAGCCTGACCTACATAGAGAAATCCCGTCTCTACTGAAAATACAAAATTAGCTGGGTGTGGTGGCGCATGCCTGTTATCCCAGGTACTCAGGAGGCTGAGGCAGGAGAATTGCTTGAACCCGGGAGGCGGAGGTTGCGGTGAGCCAAGATCCCACCATCGCACTCCAGCCAGGGCAACAAGAGAGAAATTCCCGTCTCAAAAAATAAAAATAAAAAATAACTGGCCAGGTGCGGTGGCTCATGCCTGTAATCCCAGCACTTTGGGAGGCCGAGGCGGGCAGATCATGAGGTCAAGAGATTGAGACCATCCTGGCCAACATGGTGAAACCCCGTCTCTACTAAAAAATACAAGAAGTAGCTGAGCCTGTAGTCCCAGCTACATGGGAGGCTGAGGCAGGAGAATTGCTTGAACCCCGGAGGCGGAGGTTGCAGTGAGCCGAGATTGCACCACTGCACTCCAGCCTGGAGACAGAGTGAGACTCTGTCTCTAAATAAATAAATAAGTGTAACCGGTGAAACCCCATCTCTACTAAAAATACAAAAAATTAGCCGGGCATGGTGGCACACTCCTGTAGTCCCAGCTACTCGGGAGGCTAAGGCAGGAGAATTGCTTGAACCTGGGAGGTGGAGGTTGCAGTGAGCCGAGATCACGCCACTGCACTCACTCCAGCCTGGGCGACAGAGACAGACCCAGTTTCAACAACAAAAAACTGTATCATGGAATCAAATCTTCAAGCAAAGCTGGCAAACACATACTTAGCTGACATTCTAATAATTCCGCTTTAATCCAAATCCTGACATTCTAATAATTCTGCTTTAATCCAAATCCTGAGTGTCATTTCTTTTTTTTTTTTTTTTTTTTTTTTTTTTTTGAGACGGAGTCTTGCTCTGTTGTCCAGGCTGGAGTGCAGTGGCGTGATCTCGGGTCACTACGAGCTCCGTCTCCCAGGTTCACGCCATTCTCCTGCCTCAGCCTCCTGAGTAGCTGGGACTACAGGCGCCCGCCACCACACCAGCTAATCTTTTTTTGTATTTTTTTTTTTTAGTAGAGACAGGGTTTCACCGTGTTAGCCAGGGTGGTCTCGATCTCCTGACCTCGTGATCTGCCCGCCTTGGCCTCCCAAAGTGCTGGGATTACAGGCGTGAGCCACCGCACCCGGCGAGCGTCATTTCTAATACATAAACACACTCAACTACAGCAAAGTACAAAAAATGGATCTATGTCAAGTACATTAAGTATATTGATATCTTTTTCTGCATAAAGCACATTCAAAACAAAGTTAAATGAAATAGCAGGCCAGACGCTGTGGCTCATGCCTGTAATGCAAGCACTTTGGGAGTTTGAGGTGGGCGGGTTGTTTGAGCTCAAGAGTTTGAGACCAGCCTGGGCAACATGGCAAAACCCTCTCTCTACAAAAATTAGCTGGGCATAGTAGCGTGCACCTGTAGTCCCAGCTACTAGGGACGCTGAGGTGGGAAGATGGCTTGAGCCTGGGAGGTGGAGAGTGCACTGAGCCAAGATCACACCACTGCACACCAGCCTGGGTGACAATGCAAGAACCTGTCTCAAAAATAAATAAATAAAAATACAGTAAATAAAAACGGTGAGCCACACGAAATTTTATATTGCTTTGGAACTCCTAAATTATGTCAAGACCAAAAAAATAATATGGGCTTATTTACTTCATATATATATATATATATATATATATATATATATTCTGGATATATATATATATATATATATATATATATATATTCTGGATATATATATATATATTCTGGATATATATATATATATTCTGGATATATATATATATATTCTGGATATATATATATATATTCTGGATATATATATATATTCTGGATATATATATATATTCTGGATATATATATATATTCTGGATATATATATATATTCTGGATATATATATATATCTAGAAATACAAATAAATAAAAGACGGGGAAAGATACGATAGTAAATAAAGGCCTACTGTCTGAAAAGCTTAAAATATCTGAAGGCTGGAGTGTAGTGGCACAATCACAGCTCACAGCAGCCTCAACTTCCCAGACTCAAGCCATCCTACCACCTCAGCCTCCTGAGTTTCTGGGACTACAGATGCACATCATCATGCCCGGCTAATTTTTTTTTTTTTAAACAAAAAAAGCCTGCTACATTGTCCACTCTGATCTTGAACTCCTGAGCTCAAGTGATCCTCTCACCTCAGCCTCCCAAAGTGCTAGAATTACAGGCATAAGCCACTGTACTTGGCCTGAAATTATTTTTTAAATACATTGATATAGAACTGCTTGAGTTCATGAGTTTGATACTAGCCAAGGCAACACAGACTCCTGCAAGGAGGGATGGAAGGATGGAAGGTAGGTAGGTAGGTAGGAAGGTAGGAAGGAAGGAAGGAAGGAAGGAAGGGTGGAAGGGGGGAAGCGGGGAAGGAGGGAAGGGGGGAAAGGGAGGGAGGGAAGGAAGGAAGGAAGGAAGGAAGGGGAGAGAAGAGGTACACTACAAAAAATAATGTCAGAATCATAGTAATTTTCACATTATCTCTATGAAATGGAAAACTTCTCTCTGCTTTTCTCTTTCCTCTCTTCAGGATACTGGTGAGAAGAACAGAATTGTTAAGATATAAGACAGTTGCTCCTTCCCCTATGATCATCACATATCTGGCAGATCCCAAGACAGGCCCCACTCCTTGCAGTTGCTTTTTACAACTCTGAAGCTAAGCTTCAGGAAAGTCCTAAAAAAAATCTCAGCAGAACTGCCAGCAGCCAGCAGCCCCTCTTTCACCCAAGCTGTCAAAGGGCCTGCTGGTAAACATACTTACCTGACATTCTAATAATTCCGCTTCAACCCAAATCCTTTGCAAAAATCCTCAATTACACTCCACTAGCAAAAAAGCTTATGAAAGATATACTCTATAGGAATGATTTTTCAAGTGGCTCCAGCTTGAATGCAAACTCTGCTCCACACTTACGACAACTTACTATCCAGCAAGGCCAACTGATCAAGCTAAGAACAAAAACCAAAACAAATAAAAAATAGGTAGGTAGTTTGCCTACATAGCTGCTTTTATATAAAGCGAACGTAATAGATTTTGACAGTAAAATTAAGTGCCCATTTTGTCGCCCAGATAGTTTAAATGGACTATGTTTTTGATTGTTTGCATTCTGTTCCTATTCACCGGTATATATACTGATGAGAAAATTATATGAACAGCCACCATACAGTCCCAGTAAGAATAGGAAGAACAGGTCAAATAAAACACCATACCCCCTGCAGAATTTATCTAGCATACTTGCGATTAAGAAAAACTATGGTGATTTTACATGGTCTGTTAACTTTTATTTATTTGGGGTTTATTAGTCTAAATAGAACCAAGGTAAACATATCAACTTTTTCCTCAAAGTAATAACAGTACCCATCCTAACAGATACTCAATCTCCAATTCACTGGTTATCCCCTATAATGTGTGGTGTTTTTTTTTGTTTTTTTTTTTTTGTTTTTGAGACAGAGTCTCACTGTCACCCAGGCCGGAGTGCCATGGCATGATCTCGGCTCACAGCAACCTCCGCCTCCCAGGTTCAAGCAATTCTCTGCCCCGGCCTCCAAGTAGCTGGGACTACAGGCACATGCCACCATACCCAGCTAATTTTTTTGTATTTTGAGTAGAGACAGGGTTTCACTATGATGGCCAGGCTGGTCTCGAACTCCTGACCTCGTGATCTGCTCGCCTCGGCCTCCAAAAGTGCTGGGATTACAGATGTGAGCCACGGTGCCCGGCCCCCCTATAATGTGTTTTTATAACAATAAATCTGTCTGATTTATGACATGGATCAGCTTGTAATCCTTAAACATGTCTCTAAACAACCAATCCAAATACATACTGTGACTAGATTCCTACTGTCAAAGGGTAAAAGTAAAGGATTCAACAGTGTAGTCAGTAGTGGGATTTCAGTCATGAAGATTTGACGATTTCTCTAAGACGCCCACTAATGCCAGCAGAAGCATGTGAGAGATCAAATACCCTAGGAAAGAAAACCCTCTCCCTGGTAAGAGGGGAAGAAGCTGGGTTACTATGTATTCCTAAAACCTTAAGAACAAAGGAATATCAGAACAATGATATTTTAACCAGAACAGGGTGGTAAGGACTAATCACACACATAACGTTGGTCTTATACTGTGACCGCCCTCCCTGGTGAGACACAGTAAAATTTAGGGGTCAATAAAGTCATTTTATTCTTTCTTTTTGTTACCTTCTATTTTCTTTTTCTTCCCAAGGTGTGTACTTCAGGGTTTAGGACCTAATAAATTAGCAGAGGTGTACGTGCCAACACTCTTCGTTGCCATCTTTCTATCTTTGACAATAGTAAGTTTGAAACTTACTTTACAGAAACCTGGTCCTAAATATAAAAAATACTAAGCAGTTTCAGCTTGTGGAAGACAGAATTATACTTGGTTTTTACCAATTTACTATGTGGCATATGACAAGAAACTTTACCTAGAATAATACTGAATCCCTGGGATTTTTTTATTTGAGACAGAGCATCACTCTGTCACACAGGCTAGAGTGCAATGGTACAATCTCGGCTCACTGCAGCCTCCACTTCCCCCAGTTCTCGTGCCTCAGCGTCCCGAGTAGCTGGAACTACAGGCACACACCACCATGCCCAGCTAATTTTTGTATTTTTATTAGAGATGGAGTTTTACCATGTTGGCCAGGGTGGTCTCGAACTACTAATGTCAAGTGATCTGCCCACCTTGGCCTCCCAAAGTGCTGGGATTACAGGTATGAGCCACCACACCCGGCCTGAATCCCTGGGATTTAAAAATATGGTCTCCAATTTAGCCTCAGCATTAAGGAAGTATCATCTAAGAAATTTGCAGGATGATATTCATCTGAAAAGGGACTAATATTCAGACAATACAAGGAATCTAAACAACTCAACAGCCAAAATATAAATAATCCCATTAAAAAGTATGCAAACAGCTGGGCATAGTAGCTCACACCTGTAATCCCTGAGATTTGGGACACTGAGGTAGGAGGACAGCTTGAGGCCAGGAGTTCCAGACCAACCTGGGCAACATTGCAAGACCCCATCTCTTAAAAAAAAAATTTTTTTTTTTCTTTAAATTAGCCAGGCATGGTGGGGCTCATGCCTATAGTCCCAGCTGCTCAGGAGGCTGAGGTGGAAGTATCACTTGAGCCCAGGATTTCAAGGTTGCAGTAAGTTATGATCATGCCACTGCACTCCAGCCTGGGCAACAGAGTGAGACACTGTCTCTTAAGAGAAAAAAAAACAGTAGACAAAGGATCTAAAAAGACAATATACAAATGGCCAAAAGGTACACAAAAAATGCTCATCACTAAACATCAATAAAATACAAATGAAAACCACAATGAGATATCATCTTACCCCAGTTAGAACGGCTATTATCAAAAAGACAAAAAATAGCCTGTAATCCCAACTACTGAGGTGGCTGAAACAGGAAGATTGCCTGAACCCAGGAGTTCAAGACTGCAATGAGTTATGATCATGACACTGCATTTAACTAATTAAGCAAATTAAACAGATGCTGGTGAAGATACAGGGAAAAGGGAACTCTCATACACTATTGGTGGGAATATAAACTGGTACAGCCATTTTGGAAAACAGTATGGAGATTTATCAAAAACAAAAAATTGAATTACCGTATGATCCAGCAATCCCATTAGCAGATATTTATACAAAGAAAAGGAAACCAATAGTGCTTCATGTTTGCCAGGTTGTGGTGGCTGTGGCAATTTCTATTTTTTTTTAATTTTTAACTTTTTACAGATACATAATATTTAAACAAATTTATGGGGTACATGTGGTACTTTGTTACATGCAGAGAATATATAATTATCAAGTTGAGGTATTTAGGATATCCGTTACCATGAGCATTTATCATTTCTATGTGTTGGGAACTTTTCAAGTCCTCACTTCTAGCTATTTTGAAGTGAAGCACTATTCACAATATTCACAAATATAGAGAATCAACCTAAGTGTTCATCAACAGATGAATGGATTTTAAAAAGTGATATATTTACAGGTTGGAATACTACTCAGCCATAAAAGAATGAAATCACGTCCTTTGGAGCAACATGAATGGACTTGGAAGACATTGTGTTAAATAAAATAAACCAGACACAGAAAGATAAATATCACACGTACTCACTCATGTGGGAGCTAAAAAGGTTATCTCATGCAGGTAGAGAGTGGAATGATAGTTACCAGAGGCAGAGAAGGTGATGGGTATAGAGGGTGGGGAATAAAGAGAGATTGGTGGATAGGTTAAAACACAGAGAGAAGGAATAAATTCTAGGCCGGGCTCGGTGGCTCATGCCTGTAATCCTACCGCTTTGGGAGGATTAGGCAGGTGGATCACTTGAGGCCAGGAGTTTGAGACCAGCCTGGCCAACATGGTAAAACCCCATGTCTAGCAAAAATACAAAAATTAGCTGGGCATGGTGGCGTGCACCTGTAGTCCCAGCTACTCAGGAGGGTAAGTAGGAGGATTGTTTGAGCCCAGGAGGTGGAGGTTGCAGTTAGCTGAGATGATGCCACTGCACTCCAGCCTGGGTGACAAAGTAAGACCCTGCATTTAATTATGCCTGGATAATTTTTGTATTTTTTTGTATTTTGTATTTTTTCTGAGACAGAGTCTTGCTCACTTGCCCAGGCTGGAGTGCAGTGAGGAGATCTCGGCTCACTGCAACCTCCACCTCTTGGGTCCAAGCAATTCTCCTGCCTTAGCCTCTCAAGTAGCTGGGACTACAGGTGCGTGCCACCACACTTAGCTATTTTTTATATTTTTTGGTAGAGACAGGGTTTCCTTGTGTTAGCCAGGCAGGGTCTCAAAAAAAGGGAATAAGTTCTAATGTTCAACAGTAGAGTAAGATGACTACTTAACAATTACGTATTATACACTTCAAAATAGCTAGAAGTGAGGACTAGAGCAAAAAGACTACAACTCACTGAAAGCTCAAATGATCATAGCCTTTTTTAGCAATAAAGTATTTTTAAAATAAGGTTTAAAAAACCCTATTGCATTGTATTCCAAACGTAATACAATTATAATTTGTCAATGCTTTTGGTTAGAGCTTTAAGTTTTAAATTATTCATAGGGCTTTCTCAGCTCATCCAAAAACAACCCTTTGGTTTCTTCAAAACTACATAACCCAAAATAGTTCATTTACAGGCATCAGTAAACAAATGATCAGATTTTAGATGACCTGCTATTCTTTCAGAACACACTGCCATCCCTAGTCACAGTCCAGCAACGCAACTGCCTGCTTCTTCCCCCTAATTGAAAGCATTTTCTTCCCTCTTACTCTAGCTTACCTCTACCCCGGGCTCGCTTGCCACGATCTGAAGGTTTGTCCACTTGATTGCAATCAATTCCATTTTCTTCACCTCTAACTAGGGGGAAAAGAGCAGAAAAATCAAATTTCCATTTCCAAACCTCTTGTACATAACCTTATCAAGCACCTATTAAAGGCAAAGAAGGAATGACAAACAGGCTACAATTTAAACAACGGGTTCAAAAACAGGAAAAACAAAAACAAAAGTGACTTAAAAACTGAATGAGGTCAGGCACAGTGGCTTACACTTGTAATTCCAGCACTTGTAATTTCCAGCTGAGGGGGGCAGATCTCTTGAGCCCAAGAGCTTGAGACCAGCCTGGGCAACATACAAAAAAATACAAAAATTGGCCAGGCACAGTGGCTCACACCTATAATTCCAGCACTTTGGGAGGCTGAGGCGGGTGGATCACTTGAGGCCAGGAGTTCAAGACCAGCCTGGCTAACACACGGAAACCCTGTCTCTACCAAAAAATATAAAAATTAGCCAAGTGTGGTGGCGCGCACCTATAGTCCCAGCTACTCGAGAGGCTAAGGCAGGAGAATTGCTTGGACCCAACAGGCGGAGGTTGCAGTGAGCCGAGATCTCCTCACTGCACTCCAGCCTGGGAAAGTGAGCAAGACTCTGTCTCAGAAAAAATACAACATACAAAATACAAAAAAATACAAAAATTATCCAGGTATGGTTGTGACAGCGTGCAGCTAGTAGTCCCAGCTACTCAGGAGGCTGAGGTGGGAGGATCACCTGAGCCCAGGGAGGTCAAGGCTGCAGTGAGCTGTGATCATGCCACTGCACTTCAGCCTGGGTGAAAGAGTGAGACCTTGTCTCAAAAAAAGTGAAAAAAATATATATATATGAAATCACATCTTCCTTAATTCACATGAAAATTCTGAAAATAAATTAACATACTGATTTTTCTTTCTTCTTTGTGGACTTGCTGTGAAGTTTTTGCTTCAAAAAAACTACTTCCATTATGCAACTACGTTAATGTATCACAGAATTTGCTCATTAATTAGGTTCAAAGCCTGGAAAGGCACAGAATAGCAAAATAGCAATACCAAGGAAACCCTGAGTTCTTAGAAAAACTAAAGTGTTGGAGTTGGGTTTTTCTAGGATACTAACAGGAAGATGCCAACACGCAGTCTTTTCTTTTTCTCATCCCTATATTGGCATTAATAGCTCTACATAATACAGAAATTTTATGAAGGATATTGGCATGGCTTGCTCCCCTCACCTCTTTCAGAGGCTGACTCACATGAATTCCAGTGAGGCTTTCCTTGGCAACCCACTTAAATTTGCCAGACCTCTTCCCATAATTTGCATCTCTGTTTTTCCCTATAACATAATTTCTACATAACATCATTAAAATATATTAATATAAAATATTTTATTTTCTTTATTGTTACATCCCATTTGACCTTCATTAAAAGTTTTAGAAAGGCAAAGATTTTACTTACTTTATTCATTGCTGTATGCCTATAAAAGTATCCACTACATAGTAGATACTCAATAAATATCAGTGGAATATATGAGACAGCAAGAGTCTCAGGGTGATATGTTAAATATTTACATTTTATTCTTTCATAACTTAGCTACACTGACACACTGCCAGAGCAGACAAGGTTGTTTTGCATAAACAGTGACAAAACCTAGAAAACCTAGGTCTAATGGAAATGAGACCTGCCTATGAGAAATCCTGCCTATTCAGCAACTTTCCTCTTAATCTAACCCTTGTCTATACCATGAGTGTCTATAAATGGAGAATATAAAACAGCTTTATCTACCTGTAACTAAATGGCCCCTGGCCCCTTCTTTGCCACACACACACCATTCTAAAATTAACAAATGTGTCTGACTCATAACAGAAGGGAGTCATCACACTACACAACCACCTGCCTACAGCCCAGGTCAATGCTGATACGAAACCACATGGGAGGCGCTTATGAAACTACTCAGGTGCCACTCATTTCTAGTGTTAACTATTAGAACAAATTCTGCATTGAGGAAACGAATTTATGAGCATACTATGGACTAATCTTTCAGTCGTTCAGAATGTATGGAAACTAAGAAAAAATTTGAGAAAGCTGAGCGCAGTGACTCATGCCTGTAATCCCAAAACTTTGGGAGGCTGAGGCGGGAGGGTCACTTGAGATGAAAGAAGAGAAAAAACTGAGGAGAAAGTCTGTACTTACATTCTCTGCCACGATTGCCGCCTCTTCCTTTCCGGTTGTTGTTTCCACGTCCACGACTCGATTCTTTCTCGCTTTTCTTCTCTCTATTCTCTTTGTTTTCTGAATTTTCTTTTGCAAAATTCTTTTTCTTACACCCTACAGTCTCCCATGAAGTCTATCAGAGAGAACGGCTGTTAATCATTTATCATTCAAAGTGTGTACAATTATCAAAGGCACATGCATGTATCTTTCTTTTTTTTTTTTTTTTTGAGACGGAGTCTCGCTCTGTCGCCCAGGCTGGAGTGCATGGCGCCCTCTCAGCTCACTGCAAGCTCCGCCTCCCAGGTTCACAACATTCTCCTGCCTCAGTCTCCTGAGTAGCTGGGACTACAGGCGCCTGCCACCACGCCCAACTAATTTTTTGTATTTTTAGTGGAGATGGGGTTTCATCGTGTTAGCCATGATGGTCTCGATCTCCTGACCTCGTGATCTGCCCGCCTTGGCCTCCCAAAGTGCTGGGATTACAGGCGTGAGCCACCGCGCCCGGCACATGCACGTATCTTTCAAACCTAACTACCCACAGCTTGCAGCTCACCTGCTTATCATTTAAATTCTTTCCCTATAGTTCTACTTTATTGATGATGAAGGTAACAATCCTCTTGCTAAGCTCCTGTTGCTAAATAATTACAGCTATTAGCTGACCTGACAAAATACTGTACATTTTCCCAACATAAAGCCCTTTCCTATGCAAATTTAGGAATACAGTAAAAGTCATTTCCCCAAGCTCCTATTCTACACCACCTCACTTACCTCTCTATTAGGCCTTAAATCTACTTATTAATTCAAAGACCACAAAATTACTTAGAATGATGCCCCAAAAGCTCCAGGAATACAACCTTGCCTGTTCCATTATTCAAACTAATTATCTAAAACAATTTAATGGCAGATAAGTAAAATTTTAGCTTGGTTTTGGTGGGTTTTTAAAAAATTTATAAAGCACCTAAATTTTTAACCTCCAAAGAATTCTTCTAGTGAGAAGTCAAATAATTTATATAACCTCCCTTCTCCACCTCTCCCCTAATGGTGATACCAAATCTAATCTACCATATATATATATATATAAATGGCTGAGAAAGAAAAAGATACTACATTCTTGACTATAAGTGGATATAAAAATTATCAAGCAGGGTAGTTACAGAGAAATCCTAAAATTGGCCCAATAGTTTCCATTTACTTATTCATAATCTGCCTTATTTCAGAAGGGACTGGAAATGACTCCATCCAAAATTAAGAGTAACTGTTTTATGCTTTTTAAAAATCTTACAGAAAAACAAAATTTGACATTATATATCCAAAGTAAACATTAGCACTGGAAATTAATAAACTAAAATTTGGGTGATAAGTTGAATTATTTCCATAACAGTGGAAGCCAACTTCCAAACTCTTTTTTTGAAATGGAATATCTGGTCTTCTGCAAAGCTGTGATGAACTCACATATTTAATTAGATATAAAATGGATATGAAAAAGATATAAATTATGTTCCACCTCTAAGCTTTAATAATGAAGACTGAATATACTATCACCTGATAGTTAAGGTGAAACAATGAGGTATTATCATACAGTTCTGGTGAGCATGCATCTATTGTAACCTTTCTAGAAGGTTACTTAGAAATAGTACCCCCCAATTTTTTTTTTTTTTTTGAGACAGAGTCTCACTCTGTCACCCAGAGTGGAGTGCAATGGCACAGTCTCGGCTCACTGCAACCTGCATCTCCTGGGTTCAAGTGATAACTCCTGTCTCAGCCTCCCGAGTAGCTGGGGTTATAGGCGTACACCACCACACCCAGTGAATTTTTGTAATTTTAGTAGAGACGGGGTTTCACCATGTTGGCCAGGGTGCTCTCGAACTCCTGACCTCAGGTGATCCACCTACCTCGGCCTCCCAAAGTACTGGTATTACAGGCATAAGCCACTGCGCCTGGCCTATTTGGTGCATACTCTTTCAACCCAGCAATTCTACTTCTAGGCCCTTATTCAAATAAAACAACGTGGCCGAGCACACTGGCTCACGCCTGTAATCCCAGCACATTGGGAGGCCAAAGCAGGAAGATCACTTGAGGCCAGGAGTTGGAGACTATCCTGGCCAACATTGTGAAACTCTTATCTCTACTAAAAATACAAAAATTAGCTGAGAGTGGTGGCAGGCACCTGTAATCCCAGCTACTCAGGAGGCTGAGGCAGGAGAATCAATTGAACCTAGAAGGCTTGAACCTGGGAGGTGGAGGTTGCAGTGAGCCAAGATCACACCACTGCACTCCAGCCTGGGTGACAGAGCGAGACTCTGTATCAAAAATAATAATAATAATAACGTAAGAATTGTTCAAACATTTATGTGCAGACAAAATGATCAACAGCATAAAAGGAGGGGAGGCGGATTCCCAAAATATCAAATTCAGGAGACTAAGTAGTCTAGTGTATCCATAAATGGAGCAGTATGTAGCCATTTTACCAGTTACATAGGTACATATAGAAAGAGGTCCTTGATAGAAAAAGCAAGCTATCAGCAAACAGCATATAGAATTACATTTTTTAGTTCAAATAGGAGCCTATGTACTTACTGAAGGAAGAGGTATAAGTCATTATTTAAGTGAGGATGTTTAATTTGATTTAATCTTTAATATTTTTCTGCATTTCTTTTCTAATTAAACAATAAAGCTTATCTATGCCAGAGAAAATAATGCCCACACTGAACAAACTCAATTTATTATGTTTGCTAATATGAAAATACTAGACAACTGTGTAAAACAGAATCCAGTCCTCTTAGGTTAGAATACAAAAAGTAAATTCCAGAGGTCCTGGAAAAATCATCCCAGAAGAGTTGGCATAAAGTGTATGTATACACAATGTACATCTTTACACAGCCTCGCCGAAAGGTACTCTATCTTTATAAAGGGGCCAGCTGTCTTTGTAAAACATCTGAGAAACACTTTACCCCATTTCATATAGCAAATGATACCCTGGCCAGGCACGGTGGCTCACACCTGTAATCCCAGCACTTTGGGAGCCCAAGGTGGGCAGATCATGAGGTCAGGAGTTCCAGACCACCCTGGCCAACATGGTGAAACCCCATCTCTACTAAACATACAAAAATTAGCAGCCGGGTGCAGTGGCTCATGCCTGTAATCCCACCACTTTGGGAGGCTGAGCGGGTGGATCACCTGAGGTTGGGAGTTCAAGACCAGCCTGACCAACATGGAGAAACCCCATCTCTACTAAAAATACAAAATTAGCCGGGCGTGGTGGCGCATTCCTGTAATCCCAGCTACTCGGGAGGCTGAGGCGGAAGAATCGCTTGAACCCGGGAGGCAGGAGGTTGTGGTGAGCCGAGATCACGCCATTACTCTCCAGCCTGGTCAACAAGAGCAAAACTCCATCTCAAAAAAAAAAAAAAAAAAAAATTAGCCAGGCGTGGTGGCACATGTCTGTAATCCCAGCTACTCAGAAGGCTGAGGCAGGAGAACTGCTTGAACCTGGGAGGCAGAGGTTGCAGTGAGCTGAGATCATGCCATTGCACTCCAGCCTGGGTGACAGCGCAAGACTCCCATCTCAAAAAAATAAAAATAAAAAAAAGATACCCTCCCCATCCTACTGCCCCTCAAGCAAAGTCTTGGTTTATGAGCTCTACAAAGACAACTTATCGGGCGGAGGGGGGGGGGCACAAATAGGGAAAAGAACCTTTAAGAAGCAATCTTTACAATACCATAGTAACTGCTAAAAAGATTACTGTGTATTTTGCTGAAGTCTGCAAAGTATACACACATGCATACTTTAAAAAGTTAACCAAGTAATTATGGAGGATTTCCAAGAGAATTTCTGGCAACCTCTGTTATCGGTATTTTGCTAGTTGCAGAACAGGTCTGAAGAAACTCTAAGAGGAGAGGTCCTCCCAGCCACCACATAATAATCAGAACAGCAGTCTTCGAAGCCAGCTAGTTCAAAAATTACTCTCCCACCACTTTGCCTTTGCCAAAAACTACCAACACAAACAACTTACTAAAAAGAGTTAAGTACATTAATTCAAGAGACCGATACTTCAAAACAATTTTGTCACATCAACCAAACATTATGATGAAACAAAAAGTTCAGTACTTATGTTCAATATCTTCCTTTGTGACAGATATACTTACATAAGAAAAAATAAATTTATCCTTAAAAACATCATGGACGATTCCACTTAACACCTTTTCCAAGTAATAATTTTGTTTCAGCACAGAGGAAGGTTAGATAATAGGAAAAGAATCGTTTGCCTTCATGCTCTTGCTCCTAGCAACATCACAGTGTTTATATTCTGTCAACCCTACTCCAATTAACTCTATCTCAGTCAAGGGAAGATAATCAAAGCTGTTTAGCCATAGGTGCTGCAGATGGCAACTAGGTAAGAGATGAGGCAAACAGTATGAGAGACAAGATGTACCAGAGAGTGGTCCTCAACAAACCAGGGTTTCAAAGACTCCAGCCTGAGCAACATAGAAACACAGAGACCCCCTAACTCTACAAAATATAAAAATGATTAGCCAAGCGTAGTGGCATGCGCCTGTGGTCCCGGCTACTCGGCAGGCTGGAGGATGGCATAAGCCCGGGAGGTCGAGGCTGTAGTAAACCGTGATGGCACCACTGCACTCTAGCCTGGGCAACGGAGTGAGACCCTGTCTTAATAAAAAACCCAAAACACCAAACAACTAAAACAAAGACTTTACCTCTACTTCTGTCCCCCACAGCCCACTCAGCCCTGAACAAGTGTATTCTTTCACAACTATATTCAGAACTTCATTTGCTATTTTCTTATCTTTGAAGAAAACAAGAAGTCAGATATAGCCCACACTATAAAATCGTTCAAGAGGTAACCAAAGAGGTGTTCTTCATGAAAAGTTCAGCTTTGCTTTCTTTTTTTTTTTTTTTTGAGACCGAGTCTCGCACTGTCGCCTGGGCTGGAGTGCAATGCCGCGATCTCGGCTCACTACAACCTCTGCTTCCCGGGTTCAAGCAATTCTCCTGCCTCAGCCGCCTGAGTAGCTGGGATTGCAGGCGCCCACCACCACACCTGGCTAATTTTTTGTATTTTTAGTAGACATGGGGTTTCGCCATGTTGACCAGGCTGGTCTCAAACTCCTGACCTCGTGATCTGCCCACCTAGGCCTTCCAAAGTGCTGGGATTACAGGCATGAGCCGCAGTGCCCAGTCAGTCTTACTTTCTAATACATAGCCCAGAACCAGCTCCTTCAGGTTCGGTCCCAAAGGAGGAGGGGGTGTTAAAACTCAAAACAGAAAGAGAAAACTGGACATTTAAAACTTAAAAATTCACCAAACTACCAGAGAAAAGGAATTAAATCTGCTGGAGCTAAAGGAAAGGCAACAAAAAATAGTGTCTGGACTTATCTCTACCATAAAAAGATCCAAAAAGATCCTCTCCAGTGAACAATTTGGGTTATTTTGTTTATTCCCAAAGATTTTTTCTTTTTTTTTTTTTTCCCTAAACAAAGAGGGCGGTTAGGCTCTTCAGTTCACTTTGAAAATAACTGAAAGCCACTCTCTGCTGTACCCATTAGCGATAAGGTAAACAGATCCTCCATATTTTGCAAAACCCAGGATACTTAGTCCCAGGTCAGTAAACAAAAACTATTCAAAATTTTAATTTATCATATAATATGGTTTTCCCAAAAAAAAAAAATCACAAATTTGATGGTTTGTCTTGTGTACCAGTGTTCTCTTACATGGAATTTTACCAACAATTACTGCTACACTCAAACAGTGAAATCTTTTCCACATTAGTTAATTTTTACTTTAAAAGAATTCATTCTCTTTGTTTCACATCAACTAAAAACACAGTCATTTTAGCTTTCAGTTTCTCAGAGTTCATTTTTGTATTTCTTGTACCTAATGCAGCATGACCCTAAAATGAGACTTCAATTAAATCTGAACACTGACACGGTCAGTTTGTTTGTTTTAAATTTTCCAAGGAAAGGTAGTTATTGATGTGTTCATCTTTGTATCCTCTTTTAGGTGAGTCATTTTTTTTTAATCTACTCTAAAATAGTTTCCTCAATTTAAGAAACATAAACACAGGTCAGGTGTGGTGGCTGACACTTGTAATCCCAACACTTTGGGAGGCCAAGACGGGTGGATCACCTGAGGTCAGGAGTTTGAGACCAGTCTGGCCAACATGGCGAAACCCCACCTCTACTAAAAATACAAAAATTAGCTGGTCGTGGTGGCGCATGCCTGTAGTACTAGCTACTTGGGAGGCTGAGGCAAAAGAATCACTTGAACCCAGGAGACGGAGGTTGCAGTGAGTCAAGATCACACTACTGCACTCCAGCCTGGGTGGCAGAGTGAGGCTGTCTCAAAAAAATAAATAAATATATAAATATATATATTAAATATAAATATATATATAAAGTATATATATTTATATATTATTAAACAAATATTATAAATATTATATATAATATATATTAAATATATAAATATATTTATATTATTAAATATATATATTTATATTATTAAATATATAAATATATTTATATTATTAAATATATTATTAAATAATTTAATTTAATTTAAAATTAAATTATTTAAAATTTAAAATTATTAAATAAATATATATTTATAAATAAATATATACATATGTATAAAAACTATAATATATAAATATAAATATATACACACAGCAAAATTTTAGGGCTGACAAGTGCCTGGTGTAGCTTTAGCTGTATCCTTCTTAAAATCCAAGGCCTGAGCTCATGAGCCTGCAAGCTCACCAAACTTAACCCAATATTAAAAAAAAAAAAGAAAACTTAATATTCCACATAAGCAAATACATATACCAGCAAATCCTGGTTTTCTGTTATAATAGAGATGTAAGAAGTAATCAGAGGTGAGGACTGAGATGAAGAAACATAAGCAACAGAGCCAAGAGATGCTTTTCAGGTGGGGGTGGTGAAAATATACACAGGCACAGAGATTTTTGGAAACTGTAAGGCTGGAGTAGATCACCAAGTTCTCTTTCAAGTCATCAGATTCTACGACTTCATGAAGAAACCATACATAACAAAAACAGTCTTTTCAGGTAATCGTTCTTTCTGGAACTTAAAACAAATATGGAATGGCACCATAATCCATTCCATCCCTACCCCCAAACAAGGTGAAGTTGAAAATGTGCTACGGAATTGGAGACAAATGTAAACAATGCAAATCAATTAATAATACTTACTGTGTCTGAATTCCCTTCCAGCAATATATTGATAGCTTTGTTCACATCTCCATTACAATCATGTAGGGCCACTATGCATTCATCCTGATTTTTCCCTGTCACTTCCATAAGCTAGTGAACATATCAGAAAATGGTTAGAGGCAAACAAAAAACTGGCACTTGATATTAAGATTCTTCTATACAAATACAGAATTACATAATCCTTCTACATGAAGATGGCCTCTTCTAGACTCTTGAGTTTACAATGAGGACATGTTTACTTATTTTTTTGTGGCCATTCCATGCATGTCTTTTCACTAACACTGGTAGAATCTAACTACAAATCAATCTTCCTCCAAGTTGACCAAGGAGCAGATCATTAATCAGCAGCACACACATACGTACCAACATTCTCAGAATACCCAAGATCAAGTATCTGAATAATCAAATTTAATTCAAGCACACAGGATTCCTAAACTTAAATATGAGGTGGAACTATATGAGTACACGGTCATCATTCATGGAAAATCCAATACAAATTTTTTGTCAGGGACAATATTCCATATGCTGGCTTTCACCATTTGGATTAGAACACTTCAAAGGCCAGCCGCAGTGGCTCACAACTATAATCAACACTTTGGGAGGCAGAGACGAGAGGATTGCTTGAGCCCAGGAGTTCGAGACTGGACAATATAGTGAGACCTCATCTTTACAAAAAATTAACCGAGCGTAGTGGTAGGAGGATTGCTTCAGCCCTGGAGGTGAAGGTTGCAATAAGCCATGATTGTGCCACTGCACTCTAGCACAGGAGACAGAGCGAGACCCTGTCTCCCCCCTCAAAAAAAAGAAGAAAAAACATCATTCCATGTACATACTAAGTTATATGACACCCTAAAGTCTTACAAGTGGAATTCTGCTACTATCACAAAACACACTCCTAGACATATTTTCTCAAGGATCTTCAACATGGTGCTATGCTTGAAGTAATGATGAAAGAAACTCTTCAGTTTATTCTCATTAGCAAGAGATACTTGTTACTTAGCATTTTCATCACTAGAACGATCACAGACTAGGCAAAATGCAGGTTTCTCAAGTATCAGTGAATAAATCTATGATTTAATATCTATTGCATTTTAACTACATTTAACTATTTTAACATGTACTAGCTGAAGTTCAAAACAGCTTGATCCCAACATATCAAGTGATTTGTCTATGGTCACAAAGGTAATTAATAGCAAAGCCCATCTAGAACCCAGGCCTCCTGATCTCATAATCACAGCTCTCTGCACTATACCATTTGGCCTCCCTGCTTTCATCTTTTCATTTTATCAAGCAGCAAAAGTTCTGCATACTCTATAGCTTTCTGATGCTTCAGTCTTTGGATAGCTACTAATAAATGTCTCATTTTTATCAATGATCTGTACTAAGTGAATGCCTGCAACATACAATTTTTAAGACACACAGTCAACATCAAAATTTCCCCAGTGATCAGATTATTGACAGACAGAACTAAAATTAGAACTTAAATCTCTGAACTCCTGGGCCAGTGTTCTATCTATACTATTCAGATAAAAGGCAATGTAATATACAGAAGTATATCTCAAACTGTATGAAGATCTCATTCCAGAGAAAGAAATCTATGATTTCTTGTGAGACAAAACAAGATTTCATTGTGAGACCTTTACTCCAAAGAACAATTATTAGACGACATCTACCAAGAGTTGGAATATCTGGCACTGAGGTAGCGGTTACAGCTTGGTTTCTAGGATCTTGATGAGAAAGGGTCAGCAAAGAAGAGTTAGAAATTAAGACTAAGTTATCAAAAATACCTCTTATTAAAGTTCAAAATGAAGACATTGCCTTAAAATTTAATTTTATACTTTTCCAACAAGAGTATGAAATCACAACCATGTTTGAAATGGCAATTCAGGCCAGTAATCCTGTAATCCCAGCACTCTGGGAGGCCAAGGCAGATTGCTTGAGCCCAGGAATTCAAGACTAGCCTAGGCAACACTGCAGGACTCTGTCTCTACAAATATTTTAAAAATTAGCTGGGCATGGTGATGAACATCTGTCGTCATAGCTACTCAGGAGACCGAGGCAGCAGGATAGCGTGAGCCTAGGAGTTTGAGGCTGCAGTGAACTATGACAGCACCACTGCACTCCAGCCTGGGCAACAGAGTGAGACCACGTCTCTATGAAAAAAAAATTTTTTAAAGGTAATTCAGTTCATCTCTAACATTAAACACAATTCCCAGAGACTGTGCCAAATGTTAGATATACTTTCTATGCACAGGTATCGGAAAACCTCAGTGTGCTTACAGAAATGTCTGGTTCAATGTTCACATGTAAACACTAGTAACTCAGAAAGATTATATTGTAAGGCAGGTGAACGTATTCAATTCCTTCACTTGCCCACCAATAAAGGTATTTTTAATCACAAGTCCAAAATCCAATATACAGATTTCAGGTGAGACTAGAAGCTAGAAGTAATACTTTAAAACAAAAATCTTTACTGAAATTATCTTTTTAAGCACAATCAAAATAGATTATAAAAATGATGATATCCTTTGCCAGAAACATACCTGCTTAACTTTAGCTTCAAAATCTGAATCATTCTTATCAAAGATCACTTGAGCGAGACGCATCTGTTCAGCTGTTGCCTGGAAAGTACATACAATTGTTAAGGATTTGAACACCAAAAGCATAAGTTAGATTCCAAAATCTGGGTCAAACAGATAAGGCTCTCAAGCACTAGAAATACTAAGTAACAACAAATAAAAGACAGTGAATTTAGGCCTCTCAACCATATATAACCTGTTCCCATAGGAAAAATAAGCATCAAATTAAGTAACATAAAGGACCCATTCCTTTGACCAAACGACCTAAAGCTATTGTTCATCTTAACTGGCCAATGACTTACTTGAATCTTCTTTCCCTTGGTAGAGTGGGGGAAATCAGCTCAAGAGAAAGCAGAAGAACAAAAAATAATAAAATCTTGGCGGGGCATGGTGGCTCATGCCTTTGGGAAGCCAAGGTAGAAGCACTGCTTGAGCCCAGGAGTTCGAAATTAGCCTGGGCAACATAGAGAGACCCTGTCTCTATTTAATTTTTAAAAAGATTAAAAAAAAAAAAGGCTTAAAAAGTAATGAAATCTTTAGAGGTAGTTGGTAGGCAAAAAATAATAAAAGAAAAAATAAAAGGTAATGCAAACAACTGCCCAGACACAGGCTTAGAACTTTGTGTCAAAAAAGCTCTGTTGTCAGGTCTAAAAAGGTATGCTGGTCAGTTCTGAAGAAAAAAAGCTGTATTTAGCTAAATTAAAAATATTTTTAAAGTTACATTATCTTTTTTATACACAATAATTTTGTTTTTCTAAGAGACAGGGTTTCACTATGTTGCCCAGGCTGGTCTTGAACTCCTGGGCTCAAGTGATCCTCCCACCTCAGCCTCCCAAAGTGCTGGGATTACAGGCCTGAGCCACTGCATCTGGCAAAAATTACCCTCTTCACGATTTTTTCTTTTTTTGAGATGGAGCCTCATGCTGTTACCCTAGCTGGAGTGCAGTGCCGTGATCTTGACTGTGCAACCTCCGCCTCCCAGGCTTAACCAATGCTCCTGCCTCAGCCTCCAGAGTAGCTGGGATTACTACGTATGTATGTATGTATGTATGTATGTATGTATGTATGTATGTATGTATGTATGTTATTTTGAGATGGAGTCACACTCTGTCGCCCAGGCTGGAGTATTTATTTATTTATTTTGAGATGGAGTCTCACTCTGTCGCCCAGGCTGGAGTGCACTGGCACGATCTTGGCTCACTGCAACCTCTGCCGCCCAGGTTCAAGCAATTCTTCTGCCTCAGCCTCCTGAGTTGCTGGGATTACAGGCGCCTGTCACTGCACCCAGCCGTATTTATTTAATTTTTTAAAGGTAGGGTCTCATTCTGTCCCCTCAGACTGCGGTGTAGTGATGCCATCATAGCTCACTGCAGCCTCCAACTCCTGAGTTCAAGAGATCCTGCCGCCTCAGCCTCCCATGTAGCTTGGACTACAGGTGCGCACCACCACATCTGGCTATTTGCAGAAAAACTATTTACTTTTGTCACTCAAAATATTTTTTCAATCACATTACTGACTGAAGTTTCGTTTTCTGATGTTTTTACCAACAAAAAATCAGAAAAGTTCTAAAGAAAGTTATTCTTCTGTGGCGTGACTTTGTAATGTGCCAGTCTGGTTTCTTAGTTTTAACGAAGGTACCGTAATTATTACAACAGGGAAATTAGGTGAGGAATATACAGGAACAATCTGTATCATCTCTGTACAACGGTCTATTAAATCTAAAATTACTCCAAAATAGTTTAAGTTGCCTCGCTAACCAAGTCTATACTAACTCCCAACACAAATATTTAAAAAGCTTAACAGTTTACAAAAAGATCTTAGAGGAAGAAAAGCCATAAGGAACTAATAAACAGCTTTTATTCTGAGTTTTTTATATACACTCATTTCAAATAATCTTGACTGAAGTGGGATAAGTGGGAGTTGTTGACATTTTTTGCATTTTAAAGCACTTTTCAAAAGGCCTTTCCAGGCCATGTGGGTGGGTGATTATACAAACTCCAGGTGCTTTGGCCTGTTCATCCCAACCTATGCCTGCTGAGACCTCAGTTTAACTGCTGCAATACTGCTACATTATACCCAAAAAGACATTGGTACAGAAATTCAGTGTCTACCCTTACTGAAAATCTTACCTCAATTGTTCCCTGTAAATGTAAGGACCTTACATATACTCTCACTATCCCTAAATCAGACAATCATTTTCCTGAATCATAACCAACCAATAAGTCCCAGTGCCACAGCCAAGAGCACCACTGTCATGACAACTAGATGAAGTAAAAGGGAAAAGCAAAGGGAGAGATGGGTTTTTAAAAGATGGCATTTCCACATTATACATTTGGGTTTGGAGTAATGACAACTTGTTATGAACTGTTAAAGTCAAAAATATAGAGAGAAACAAATCTCTAAGTAAAAAAGGTTTTATTTAGAAAGAATATATAAGTAGGATTGCAATCCAGGACATACATACATACACATACTAGGGTAGCCTCCTAGTGTGTCCAAAGAACACAAAGAAGGTTGGGAGTTTTATTAGAAAAAGAAATGTGACCTATTGTTTTGAAAGAAAACTCACTGGAACTACTAAAGCTTTTGGGAGCTGGTAAGCTCTGATTGGTGAGTGAACACGGTTGGTAAAACTAGACTTAGAGTCACAAGAGTTCATCTCAACAGCTAGTAGGTAAAACTGGATTTAAGGTTACAGCATGTCATTGTGGCAGCTGGCCTGCAATATAATCCCTGGGCAAGCGGTTTGTGCCCCAAGCACTTTTTTACCGTAACCCTTGGTCCACTGACTCTAAATTTAGTTGGGTATGACAAGATAACTCCAATTCATATAATCAATTTTCACAAAATGAAAGTAGACTGTTAGTGTCCCTGTTGCAAGAAGCCTGTATGAAGAGTTTGCCTGTTTTCCCTAACACTATTATTTTCTGCTCCCTGTGTTTCAAACCTAAAAAATGTACCATACCAGCAGATTCAGGTAGCCTTGTTCCAATCCAAGCACCACTGATGCTCATCCCTTCCCATCATTACAGTTTCTTAAATTATAAGCTTTACAAGTCAAACACAAGAAAAATTGAAAAATCCATAAAGTGACCATCTAACACCAAAACTATTTATGTATTTGGTATTTATATTTTTTCATTAAAAAAAAAAAACAAAAAAACAGGGTTTCACTCTGTGTTGGAATGCAGTGGCACAATCACAGCTCACCATGGCCTCGACCTCCCAGGCTCAAGCACTCCTCTGACCTCAGCCTCCTGAGTAGCAACCATGGCAGCCACCATGCCTGGCTAATTTGTTGTTGTTATTTTCATAAAGACAAGGTCTCACTGTGTTGCCCATGCTGGTCTCAAACTCCTGAACTCAAGCAATCCTCCTACTTCTGCCTCCCAAAGAGCTGGAATTATAGGCATGAGCCACCACACTTGGCTATTTTCCTCTTTTATCAAAAACAGAATACTTAACATACTACCATGTGGAATCACTCACAGACACAATTTATTATGAATATCTATATCACGTTTAATGCTACATGACAATCCACTGCATAGGTGCTTTTTTTTTTTTTTTTTTTGAGACAGAGTCTCGCTCTGTCGCCCAGGCTGGAGTGCATGGCGCGATATCGGCTCACTGCAACCTCCATCTCCCAGGTTCAAGCGATTCTCTTGCCTCAGCCTCCTGAATAGCTAGGATTACAGGTGCATGCCACCACGCCTGGCTAATTTTTGTATTTTTAGTAGAGAACGGGTTTCACAATGTTGGTCAGGCTGGTCTCGAACTCCTGACCTCATGATCCGCCCACCTCGGCCTCCCAAAGTGCTGGGATTACAGGTGTGAGCCACCCGCCCAGCCTTAACATCTTTTTTTTAAGCTAGGGTTTCATTGTGTCGGCTAGGCTGGAGTGCAATGGCACAATCAGTGCTCACTACAGCTGCCTCCCAGGCTCAAGCAATCCTCCCACCTCACGCACTCCACCCCCCATAATTTCCCCCAATAGCTGGGAATACAGGCGCACAACACGACACCTGGTTAATGTTTTGTTTTTAGTACAAACAAGGTTCCGCCATGTTGCCCAGATTAATATTGAACCCCCCGAGCTTAAGCAATTCCTCTGCTCAGCCTCCCAAAGCGCTAGGATTACAGGCATAAACCACAGTGCCCGGCCTATATCTTTCTTACTCTGCAAATTTTTATTACTACTAAAACACTGCCAGAGATCCATTCTTTTCTTTCGTTGTTTTTTTTTTTCTTTTTTTGAGACGAAGTCTCCCTCTGTTGCCTTGCAGTAGTGTGCTCTCGGCTCGCTGCAACCTCCGCCTCTTAGGTTCAAACAATTCTCATGCTTGGGACTACAGGCATGCCACCACGCCCTGCTAATTTTTGGTTTTGGTAGAGACGGGGTTTCACCATGTTGGTCAGGCTGGTCTTGAACGTCTGACCTCGAGTGATCTGCCCACCTTGGCCACCCAAAGTGCTGGGATTACAGGTATGCACCACTGTGGCAGGCTGAGGTCCATTCTTATACCCAAATCTGTACATACATCAAAGATGGCTTTTTTTTTTTTTTTTGAGACAGTCATGCTCTGCTGCTCAGGCTGGAGTGCAGTGGCGTGATCGCGACTCACTGCAACCTCCGCCTCCCAGGTTCAAGGGATTCTCTGCAACCTCCGCTTCCCAGGTTCAAGCGATTCTCCAGCCTCAGCCTCCCCAGTAGCTGAGATTACAGGTGTTCGCCACCACACCCAGCTAATTTTTACTATTTTTAGTACAGATGCGGTTTCACCATGTTATTCAGGCTGGTCTTGAACTCCTGACCTTAAATGACCCTCCTGCCTTGCCCTCCCAAAGTGCTGGGATTACAGGCGTGAGCCACCACACACGGCCAAAGAAAGATTTCTTTCTTTTGTTTTTTTTTGAGACAGAGTTTCACTCTTGTTGCCCAGGCTGGAGTGCAGTGGTGCGATCTTGGCTACTGCAACCTCCACTTCCCAGGTTGAAGCAATTCTAGTGTCTCAGCCTCTTGAGTAGCTGGGATTACAGGCACATGCCACAATGCCCGGCTAATTTTTGTATTTTTAGTAGAGACAGGGTTTCATCATGTTGATCAGGCTGGTCTCAAACTCCTGACCTCAGGTGATCCGCCCACCTCGGCCTCCCAAAGTGCTGGGATTACAGGTATGAGCCACCACGCCCAGCCCCAAATATAGCTTTCTAACAATGAATACAAAGAAGTAAAACTATAGGGTCAAAGAAATGTCTACCAGTGTTAAAAGGAGTTTAAAACCATCTCCACAAAAATGCTCTGCACAAAGGCTATAAAGATATATACTCAACGAGCAGTAAATAAGAGAACCTGCCTCCTCAAAACCTTTCCCAAAACGGGCATAATGAACTTTTTAAAAAAGCTTTTAAAACTTTTTAATTACTTAAAATGGTCTATATTTGGTGTAATTTTTATTTCTTAGCTCACTATTAAGACTGCAAAACCTCATTTCTACAAAAAAACAGAAAAACTAGCCAAGTGTGGTGGTAAGTGCTGTAGTCCCAGCTACCCCAGAGGCTAAGGTGGGAGGATCACCTTAGCCCGAGGAGGTCAAGGTTGCAGTGAGCCAAGATGGCGCCACTGCACTCCAGCCTGTGTGACAGAACAACCTGGTCACAAAAAAAGGAAAAAAAAAGGCTGGGCGCAGTGGCTCACGCCTATAATCCCAGCACTTTGGGAGGCCAAGGCGGGTGGATCACGAGGTCAGGAGATCGAGACCATCCTGGCTAACACGGTGAAACCCCGTCTCTACTAAAAAAATACAAAAAATTAGCCGAGCGTGGTGGCGGGCACCTGTAGTCCCAGCTACTCGGGAGGCTGAGGCAGGACAATGGCGTGAACCTGGCAGGCGGAGCTTGCAGTGAGCCGAGATAGCGCCACTGCACTCCAGCCTGGGCAAAAGAGCGAGATTCTGTCTCCAAAAAAAAAAATAGGGAAAAAAAAAGTAAATTTTAAGGCTGGGCACGGTGACTCACGCCTATAATCCCAGCACTTTGGGAGGCTGAGTCAGGAGGAGACCAGCCTGGGCAACATAGTGAGACCCCCATCTCTGTAAAACATTTAAAAATCAGACACTTCTTGCATCACCTTTTTCTTAAATCCCATTGAAAACAACAGTCGGGCATGGTAGCTCAGGCCTGTAATCCCAGCACTTTGGGAGGCTGAGGCAGGCGGATCACTTGAGGTCAGGAGTTCAAGACCAGCCTGGCCAACATGGTGAAACCCCGTCTACACTAAAAATACAAAAATTAGCAGTGCGTGGTGGCACGAGCCTGAAATCCCAACTACTCAGGAGGTTGAGGCACAAGAATCATTTGAACCCGAGAGGCGGAGGTTGCAGTGAGCTGAGATCTCACCACTGTACTCCAGCCTGGGCAGCAGAGTGAAACTGTGTCTCAAGAAAAAAAAAAAAAAAAAAAATTAGCCAGGCATGGTGGCGCATACCTGTAGTCTCAGCTACCTGGAAGGCTGAGGTGTGAGAATCGCTTGAACCTGGGAGGCAGAGGGTGCAGTGAGCCTAGATCATGCCATTGCACTCCAGCCTGGAAGCCAGGGCAAGACCCTGTCTCAAAAAAAAAAAAAAAAAAAAAAAATCTGATAAAAGAATAACATATCTCTAAGTTTTTCTATTTCTTCTTTAAATTACAGAATTCAAGAAATAATAATTTAAAGAAAGTCCTATCACATATGAAAATGGAGTCTAAACTACAAGGAATATAAAACTTAACAATTAATGTCTCAAGAATAACAGAGAATAAAACTGGGGAAATTTTTTTCCTGTAAAAAGGAAATAAAAGGAAAGAGAAATGAAGAGATAAATAGGAATGGGAGAAAAGAAAGCAAAGTGTCAAACACTGAAGATAGGCAAAAGACAACCCAACTTAAAGCTATGGACAATAAGCCTCCAAAGAATAAAAATACAGTATAGAGCCTTAAAACTAAAATTTAAGAAAAATGTCTGGAAAACAAACCAAAAAATGCATAAATATGTCAATGAAAATACACCGTCCTTGAGAATATCAATCCCTAAATAATCAGTCCACACTAAGACATTCTTATTCTTTAGTTTAAGAACTGGACTCTGGCCAGGCGTGGTGGCTCATGCCTATAATCCCAGCACTTTGGGAGGCTGAGGCGGGCAGATCACTTGAGGTCAGGAGTTCAAGACCAGCCTGGCCACCACAGTGAAACCCCATCTCTACTAAAAATACAAAAAAATTAGCCGGGCATGGTGGCGTGCACCTGTAATCCCAGCTACTTGGAAAGCCGAAGCAGGAGAATCGCTTGAACCCGGGAGGCCAGAGGTTGCAGTGAGCCGAGATCGCACCATTGCACTCCAGCCTGGGAGACAGGGTGAGACTCATCTCAAAAAGAAAAAAAAAAAAAAAGAAGAAGAACTGGACTCTAAAAGAACAAACATCCACTGGACAACTAGGCAGAAATGTCAAGAGACACAGAAGAGAATGAAATTAGAATATCAACAAACTTGTCAAGAGCAATGCTTTGCGCAAGAAAAAATTAATATTTAAGATAGTCAGGTACAGCAGTTCACACCTGTAATTCCAGCAGTTCAGAAGGCTGAGGCAGGCAGATTGCTCGAGCTCAGGCGTTTGAGACCAGCCTGTGCAACACAACAAAACCCTTTACAAAAAAATACAAAAATTAACCAGTGTGGTGGCATGCACCTGTGCTCCCAGCTACTCAAGAGGCTGAGGTAGGAGGATTATCTGAGTCCAGGAGGTCAAGGGAGAAGGGAGCAGTGAGCATGACCGTGCCACTGCACTCCAGTCTGGGTGACAAAGTGAGACCTTGTCTCAAAAAAAAAAAGATAACGTAAAGAAAATGTGGGCCTAGCACTTAGAGCCAACAAAACTGATGTTCTACTCAAGTATAAAAGGTATAAATTGTGAACACCACCAAACACAAGGAATATTGTTCTCATAATTCCTTTCAGAGGAATCAACAAAAGCAATGGGTTCAGACAATCAAAACGACTAGAGAAACTGACTTAAGTATTGACAGTGACTACTGAACATATTATTTACTAAATGGCCAAAGGAGAAGCATATACTATATAATGAGTACCTGAACAATGTAGACAGAGTACAACTGTTTTGCTGTTGATATATATAAAGGCTAATTTTTGTTGTTGATTTTGTATCCTGCAACTTCACTGAATTCATTTCTCAGTTCTAACAGATGTTTGATGGAGTTTTTAGGTTTTTCTAAATACAACATGTCATCTATAAATAAGAATATAATGTGACTTCTTCCTTTGCAATCTAGACCCCTTTATTTCCTTCTCTTGCCTATTTGCTCTGGCTAGAAGTTCTAGTACTCAAGTGAGGCCAGGTGCAGTGACTCACGCCTGTAATCCCAACACTTTGGGAGGCTGAGGAAGGTGGATCCCTTGAGCCTAAGAGTTTGAAACCAGCCCTGTGGGTAACTTGGTGAGACGCTGTCTCTTCAAAAAATAAAACATTAGCCAAGTATGGAAGTGCACACCATTAGTCCCAGCTACCCGAGAGGCTGAGGCAGAAGGATCTCTTGAGCCTAGGGGGGTCAAGGCTACCGTGAGCCATGTTCGCATCATTATATTCCAGCCTGGGTGACCCTGTCTCAAAAAAAAAAAAAAATAGCCTTTATTATTTTGAGGTATGTTCCTTCCACACTCAGGTTGTTGATAATCTTTACCACAAAGGGATGTTGAATTTTTTCACATACATTTTTCAGCGTTTATTGAAATGATCATATGTTTTTTGTCCTTGTATGTTTTATTTTTATTTTTTTTGAGACTGAGTCTCGCTCTGTTGCCCAGGCTGGAGTGCAGTGGAGTGATCTCGGCTCACTGCAAGCTCTGCCTCCCCGATTCACGCCATTCTCCTGCCTCAGCCTCCCGAGTAGCTGGGACTACAGGCACCCGCCACCACTCCCGGCTAATTTTTTTTTCCATTTATAATAGAGTCGGGGTTTCACCTTGTTAGCCAAGATGGTCTCTATCTCCTGACCTCATGATCTGCCCGCCTCGGCCTCCCAAAGTGCTGCAATTACAGGCATAAGCCACCGCACTGGCCTGTCCTTGTTTTTCTTAATGAGATGTATCCTGTTCATTGAGTTGCATATGCTGAACCGTCCTAGTGACCAATTATTTTAAAAGAGGGCCAGAGGCTGAGGCAGGAGAATCGCTTGAACCTGGGAGGCGAAGGTTGTAGTGAGCCGAGATCGCGCCACTGCACTCCAGCATGGCGACAGAGTGAGACTCGTCTCAAAAAACAAAAATACACATACAAATACAAAATTAGCCGGGCCGGGCATGGTGGCGCATGCCTGTAATCCCAGTTACTTGGGAGGCTGAGACAGGAAAACTGCTTGAACCCAAGAGGCGAAGGTTGCGGTGAGCTAAGATCGCGCCATTGCACTGCAGCGTGGGCAACAAGAGCGAAACTCCGTCTCAAAAAAAAAAAAAAAAAAGTGGGACACAGAAAATGAGTAATTTTGGGATAATCTAATTCTACCACCTTCTGGTTCCCTTTGAACCAGGATGGTGTGTGGAAGCAATAAGACATAACACAAAAGAAGTCAAAAACTCTGTCATCAGCTGGGTGCAGTAGCTCAGGCCTGTAATCTCAGCACTTTGGGAGGCTGAGGCAGACGGATCACCTGAGGTCAGGAGTTCCAGACCAGCCTGGCCAACATGAGACCCCGTCTCAAAAATGTAATAAAATCAAAATGCAACAGAGATTGTGTCTGGACTGCAAAGCGTAAGATATATACTAACACTTTACAGAAAAGGTTAGGCAATCCTTTATGTAAAAAGCTGACCAGGCACAGTGGCTCCTGCCTGTAATCCCAGCACTTTGGTAGGCTGAGGCAGGCGGATCACAAGGTCAAGAAATCGAGACCATCCTGGCCAACATGGTGAAACCCCGTCTCTACTGAAAAAACAAAAATTAGCTGAGCACAGTGGTGTGCGCCTGTAGTCCCAACTACTTTGGAGGCTGAGGCAGGAGAATGGCTTGAACCCACAAGGCAGAGGTTGCAGTGAGCCAAGGTCACGCCACTGCACTCCAGCCTGGCGACACAGCGAGACTGTCTCAAAAAAAAAAAAAAAAAAAAAAAAAAGTTAACATTTAGGATAGCGGGGTGAATATATCTCTATCTCTATCGTTCTTTGCAACTTTTTTACAACTCTTAAAATTATTCCAAAATAATTTTTCCCTAAAAATTTGGTGTTTTGTTTTGTTTTTTTTTTGAGACAGAATCTTGCTCTGTCGCCCACACTGGAGCACAGTGGCACAGTCTCGGCTCACTGCAACCTCTGCCTCCTGGGTTCAAGTGATTCTTGTGCCTCACCCTTCAAGTAGCTGGGATTACAGGTGCACACCACCACGGCCAGCTAATTTTTCTATTTTTAGTAGAGATGGGGTTTTGTAATGTTGGCCAGGCTGGTCTCGAACCCCTGGCCTCAGGTGATCCACCCGTCTCAGCCTCCCAAAGTGCTGGGATTACAGACGCAAGCCACCACACCTGGCCAAAAAGGTTTTTTTCTTATAAATTTTTTAAAAAATATTTTTTATGGAGACAGGGTCTCGCTACTTGGCCCAGGATGGTCTTGAACTCCAGAGCTCAAACAATCCTCCCACCTCAGCCTCCCAAAGTGTTGAGATTACAGGTGTTAGCCACCATGTCCCGGTTCAAAATGTTTTTTTATTAATTGGTAAGCCAATAGATTCAAGCACTTATCCTACCATACAGTATAAGAAGTTTGTAATTTTTGTAGAGACAGGTCTCACTACGTTACTCAGGCTGGTCTCGAACTCCTGGACTCAAGCAATCCTCCCACCTCTGCTGGGACTACTGGAGTAAGCCACCATGCCCAGCAGGAAACAATCTATGTAAATATTCCATGTAACAAATGAAAAATAAATGACTTATATTTCCTTTTTTTTTTTTTTTTTTGAGACAGAGTTTCGCTCTTGTTGTGCAGGCTGGAGTACAATGGTGGGATCTCTGCTCATCGCAACTTCCGCCTCCTGGGTTCAAGAGATTCTCCTGCTTCAGCCTCCCAAGTAGCTGGGATTACAGGCATGTGCCACCATGCTTGGCTAATTCTGTATGTTTAGTAGAGACGGAGTTTCTCCATCTTGGTCAGGCTGGTCTCAAACTCCTGACCTCAGGTGATCTACCTGCCTTGGCCTCCCAAAGTGCTGGGATTACAGGCATGAGCCACCACGCCCAGCCCGAGGTCCTGTCTATTAAAAAAAAAAAAAAAAAACAGCCAGGCACAGTGGCTCACACCTGTAATCCCAGCACTTTGGGAGGTCAAGGCGGGCAGATCACCTGAGGTCAGGAGTTTGAGACCATCCTGGCCAACATGGTGAAACCCCGTCTCAACTAAAAATAGAAAAATTAGCCAGTCATGATGGCAGGTGCCTGTAATCCCAGCTACTCAGGAGGCTGAGGTGGGAAAATCACTTGAACCTGGGAGATGGAGGTTGCAGTGAGCCCAGATCGCGCCACTGCACTCCAGCCTAGGCAACAAGGGCAGAAACTCTGCCTCATAAAAAAAAAAAAAAAAAAAAAAGACAATAAACAAATAATACACCCTAGTCAATGACATCCATTCTGAAGTGATTAAGAGTACCATTAATCATTTAATTCACTTTGAAAAGCATTAAAAACTTAGATAAAATAATGGCTGGCTAAACAGATGTGATAAAACAAATAGAGCAAAAAGGTAATAGAACATATGGATATTGACTGTACAACTCTCAACTTTTCTTCATCTGTGACCATTTTCATAATAAAGCATTGTGGGGAGGGATTTTGGCAGACAGAAAAGGAGTACAGGCGGCGGCTTGGGGTGGTAGATGTGTTAAACAGGAGCTACAACAAACATTTTTTTTTAAAAAGTAAAATTATGGATTACTTGTGGCTATCCACTCACTGCACAGTAAGTATTATTATAAGAACATCCCTGGTTTCAAGACATTTCAGACAGAAACTACTTCATGCAGATATGTCAGAGTAGAAGATAAACCAAAGTCAGGGAGTATGGCTGAAATCTTTGTGGAAAAAGTATGAAAAAGTAATGGCAGAGTGGGGGAACCAGGAACAAATAATGACCCTAAAGGCAAGAATATTTAAACTTGAAAACTGCCTGAGAACAGCCAGTGCTTTGTAAACGTGCACAATTTACAAAACCAAAGAAACACCGACCCGATTAAAATATTAACAAACAAGCACTTGATGGGTGAAAGAATCTCACCAAATATTTCAAGCAGAATAGTTATTAATAATCGCATTTTGCTGTAGGGGGCAGTCTGGGGCTTATATATGTTTCTACATTATCATTCTGATACTGTTTCACCCATACATTTCTAACTATAAAGTCACTATTCATTGCCATATGTAAGGTAAATGCCAATGACTGATTTATTCAGACTTAGCTTTTTCAGCTTAAGTATTATATGACACAAATACTGTATTTCTCTTCAGTAATATCTTTTTTATTCATAAAAGGGATAGACAGACTACTTCTGAAAGCATAGCCAATACACATAATAGTCATTTAACAATAACAATATAGTAACACTAGTGCTAGCATATTTATGAAAATAAATTTTAATGAGAACTTTAAGTATTTTTTTTAACTTTATAAAATACCCTGAGTCAAGAAAAAAATAATTTTCTTTGATAAACAATTCAATAAATATTTGATAAACAAAGCACCAAACATAAGAGTATAATAGGGAAGTTACCAGGCTGAGCTCTAGGAAGTGTCAAGAGGTCGGTACAGCTTGGGAAAAAAGAGGAAAAATCAGGATCAACTGGTAATTCTTAAGTTAAACAAGGTCAGTGCACCCTCCCCTGCAATAAACATTAGTGACATACACTAGGTCACATCTCAAGTTGAAAAATATCTTGCCAAGAAAAGTACCATCACTACAGCTCTTCCTCTGGATCTCTTACCCATTCATATGGCTTATTACGAACTAAGCTGCTTTCACAGTGGAAAATGTGAAATTTTTCAAATGAATCCAAATTTTTTTTAATTAGAGCTGTCACCCAGAAAAAAATTGGAAATAATAATAAAGTAGGATTATTTATGCCCACCACCAAAGATAAACATTAACAGTCTACTAAGCCTGTACTCATTAATGTTCAACAGTTTTGCATTAACTTTACATATTTTTTTCAGTTGATCAGGAAGTATACCTTTTCTAAGACATTTTATATCATAATTTTCAAATATTCTTATAATCACTTCATAATTGTGGAATGTTCACATAATTTTGTGGAATTTTCACATAAATTCACAAGAGAGTTGACATCTGAATACAATGTATATTCCACAATCTAATTAGCTAAAAAGGACATTACAGCTGGGCCCAGTGGCTCATGCTTGTAATCCCAGCACTTTGGGAGGTCAAGGCAGGCGGATCACCTAAGGTCAGGAGTTCGAGAGCAGCCTGGCCAACATGGCGAAACCTCGTTTCTACTGAAAATATAAAAATTTGCCAGGCATGGTGGCGCATGCCTATAATCCCAGCTACTCGGGAGGCTGAGGCAGGAGAATCACTTGAACCCAGGAGGCGGAGGTTGCAGTGAGCTGAGATCGCACCACTGCACTACAGCCTGGGCATCAAAGTAAAACTGTCTCAAAAAAAAAAAAAGGCATTATGAGGACCATTGAAAAAATATAAGTATGGTCTGTAGATGTTCTGATTTTTTATAATTGTACTGTAATTATGTAAAAAGATCCTTGTTTTTTAAAAAACACTGAGGTATTAAGTGAAGAAGAACCTTATTCACAACTACTTGTCAAACGTTTCTGGGAATAAACTGTAGGGAAAGGAAGAGAACAGGATAAAGTAGATGTGACAGAAATGTTAAAATCTGGGGAATCTGAAAAAAGGGTATTCAGTAATTATTCATATTCCCATTGCAACTTTTCCGTAAATCTCACAATGTATTTTTTTTTTTTTTAAATTGAGGTTCACGGTCAGGCCCAGGGGCTCACACCTATAATCCGGGCAGTTTGGGAAGCTGAGGTGGGCAGATCACCTGAGGTCAGGAATTCAAAACTGACTAACCTGGCCAACATGGTGAAACCCCTCTCTACTAAAACTACTAAAATTAGCCGGGTGTGGTGATGTACAAGTGTAGTCCCAGCTACTCTGGAGGCTGAGGCAGGAGAATCACTTGAACCCAGGAGGCACAGTTGCCGTTAGCCGAGATCAAGCCACTGCACTGCAGCCTGGGCAACAGAGTGAGACTCTAGCTCAAAAAAAAAAAAAAAAAAAAAAGAGGTTAAAGGAGATTTAAGTAACTCATCTAATTACTAAGTGCTAGACCCAGGACAAAAATCCTGGTTTATACGGATTCAAAAGAACTCTCACCACCTGCTGCAGTGGCTCACGCCTGTAATCCCAGCACTTTGGGAGGCGGAGCTGGGTGGATCACCTGAAGTCAGGAATTCAAGACCAGCCTGACCAACATGGTGAAACCCCGTCTCTACCAAACATACAAAAAATTAGCCAGGCGAGGTGGAGGCAGAGGTTGCAGTGAGCTGACATCGCACCATTGCACTCCAGCCTGGACAACAAGAGCAAAACTCCGTCTCAAAAAATAAAAAACTCTCTTTCATCATGCAACCTGAATAGGTTATCTCAGAACACCTCTAACATAACACTGGACATTTAAAATTGAGTAATTAACATCTTACCGGCAGGGCGTGGTAACTCATGCCTTTAATCCCAGCACTCTGGGAGGCCAAGGTGGGCGGATCACCTGAGGTCAGAAGTTTGAAACCAGCCTGGCCAACACGGCGAAACCCCGTCTCTACCAAAAATACAAAAATTAGCCAGGCATGGTGATACATGCCTGCAATCCCAGCTACTCCAGAGGCTGAGGCAGGAGAATCGCTTGGACCCAGGAGGCAGAGGTTGCAATGAGCTGAGAACGCGCCACTGCACTCCAGCCTGGGCGACAGAGCGAGGCTCCATCTCAAAAAAAAAAAGAAAGAAAAAAATTGCCAAATAAAGCCACTTTTTATGACACCAATTTAAGATTACTTTCTTAGCAAATACTTCCCAGAATAGGATTAATGAATAAATAAACATCAATAATTTTCCTAATGCATACTAGTGTTTAAAAGAAAAAAATTTAAAAGGGCCAGGTGCAGTGGCTCACACCTGTAATCCCAACACCTTGGGAGATCAAGGGGGGGACAGATCACTTGAGGTCAGGAGTTTGAGACCAGCCTGGCCAACATGGTGAAACTTCATCTCTACTAAAAATGCAAAAAAGTTAGCCGGGCATGGTGGCTCACGCCTGTAATCCCAGCTGCTGGGGAGGATAAGACAGGAGAATCGCCTGAACCCCAGAGGCGGAGGTTACAATGAGCCAAGATAGAGTAACTGCACTCTAGACTGGGCTACAGAGCGAGACTGTCTCAAAAAAAAAAAAAAAAAAAAAAAAGGTCAGGTGCGGTGGCTCACGCCTATAATCACAGCACCTTTGAAGGCTAAGGGGGCAGTCACTTGGGCTCAGGTGTTGGAGACCAGGCTGGGCAACATGGTGAAACCCTGTCTCTACTAAAAATACAAAAATTAACTGGAGGTGGAGGCAGGCACCTGTAATCCCAGCTACTTGAGAGGCTGAGGCAGGAGAATCGCTTGAACCCAGGAGGCGGAGGTTGCTGTGAACTGAGATGGCACCATTGCACTCCAGCCTGGGCGACAGAAGGAGACTCCATCTCGAAGAAACAAAAAAAAATTAGGCAGGCATGATGTTGCCTGCCTGTAGTCCCAGCTACTTGGAAGGCTGAGGCAAGAGAATCACTTGAACCCGGGAAGTGGAGGTTGGAGTGAGCCGAGACTGGCCACTGCGACAGACTCCGTCTCAAAAAAAAAAAAAAAAAGACCATTCATTAAGCAAACTTTTTCCTAAGTAAATTCAACTATAAAAGGAGGACCTAGCCTAAAACCTCCAAATTTTTCCATCACTGGACTAGATCAGTTTGTGAATAAATTCCTATCAGAGTAAGTGTATTTAGGATCAAGCACTGAGTAGCAGAGATATCTGTCTGTTAATACCAGCAGAATACTACACTAACTTTATACTGAAAAATGTAACGCAACACTTAAATCTCCTCACTATGTCCCCTAACATCAACAGGGCACTTGGGTATAAATGAGTGATTTTAAGAAGCACTTTTAATTAACTATCAAAGTATAGTCAAATCAATCTGCAAGTAAGACAAACTGGATATAGTTTACTTACTTGCATATTGCCTATGAAAAAGGGTTTGCCAATCTAGTCAATAACATGTATATAATGCTTAATTTTGCACCAGGTACTGTGCTTAGCACTTATCTCACTTCACTTAAAATAATAATATAACCAAATTGAGGAGGAGGGAGTATTTAACATTAAAAATTTTATTCAAATGGGTCTTTGTTTTATTGAGACAGAGTCTCGCTCTGTTGCCCAGGCTTGAATGCAGTGGTGTGATCTTGGCTCACTGCAACCTCTGCCTCCCGGGTTCAAGCAATTCTCCCTGCCTCAGCCTCCCGACTAACTGCCATTACAGGCACCCACTACCATGCCTGGCTAATTTTCGTATTTTTTTTTTTTAGTAGAGACAGGGTTTCACCATGTTGGCCAGCCTGGTCTCGAACTCCTGATCTCAGGTGATCTGTCCACCTCGGCCTCCCAAAGTGCTGGAATTACAGGCATGAGCCACTGCGCCCGGCCTCAAGTGGATCTTGATCATTAAAAGCCATTCTAAGATTCAAGCACTCTTCCTTGTGCTTTGAAGAAAAGGCAGGTTTTTGCTTTTTTGTTGAGCCAAGGTCTCACTCTGTCACCCAGGCTGGAGTGCAGTAGCATCATCATAAGTGATCCTCCCACCTCAGCCGCCCAAGTACCTGGGACTACAAATGGAAGCCATCATGCCCAGCTACTTTTTAAACTTTTTGTAGAGACAAGGTCCTCACTATGTTGCCCAGCCTGCTCTTAATTCCTGGGCTCAAGCAACCCTTTTGCCTCAGCCTCCCAAAGTGTTGAGATTACAGACATGAGCCACTATGCCCAGCAAAGGCAGCTTTTTAAAGTCTATTGTAATTCAGGTATTTTACTACTTCAGACTATTAGTTCTCCATCTACCTTGGATTTTCATATTTCATTCCAAGGACACACTTAAATTAATAGAAGGGAGAAAAGGGAGAGGAGATGATGATGAAGCAGCAGGGAAGGAGGAGGAAGGGAAGCAGAGCAAGGTGAAAGGGGAGAGGAGGAGGAGGAGGAGGAAGAGGAGGAATAGAAGGAAGAGGAGGAATAGGAGGAAGAGGAGGAGGAAGAGGAAGGGGAGGAAGAGGAGGAGGAGGAAGAGGAGGAAGAGAAGGAGGAAGAGGAGGAGGAGGAAGAGGAGGAAGAGGAGGAAGAGAAGGAGGAAGAGGAGGAGGAGGAAGAGGAGGAGGCAGCAGCGGCGGCAGCGGCGGTGGTGGTGGTGGTGGTGGTGGTGGTGGTGGTGGTGGTGGTGGCAGTGGCAGCCTAATAGCTAAGAGGTACCTGGAAAAGGTTAGCATTAAAGAGTTCTCATGGAACAACATCCAATTGTACCTGAATCAAGTACAATACCTCTTTCCTTACTATTCTTCATTACCTACTTTTTATTTTTTATTTATTTTATTTTTTTTTTTAGGAAGGAGTCTCGCTTTGTCACCCAGGCTGGAGGGCAGTGGCGTGATCTGGGCTCACTGCAACCTCTGCCTCCTGAGTTCAAGCGATTCTCCTGCCTTAGCCTCCCGAGAAGCTAGGATTACAGGCGCACACCACCACGCCCAGCTAATTTTTGTATTTTCTTAATAGAGGCAGGGTTTCACAATGTTGGCCAGGCTAGTCTCAAACTCCTGACCTCAAGTGATCCACCCACCTCGGCCTCCCAAAGTGCTGGGATTACAGGCGTGAGCCACCGCACCCGGCCATCACCTACTGTTTAAACAAAGGGTCCAAAATCCTAAAGTTTCCTACAAAGGAAAACATTAAATCATATGCTCTCCCTTAATTTCCTTAATTCTAAACAAGGCAAACAAGAGTTCCACATACCCTAAAACTTCAAGTATAATAATAAAAGAAAAAAAAGGAAAAAAAAAAAAAGAGTTCCACAAAAACTTACCTGTACCACTTGTTTCTGTGGTTGCGTTGATTGTGCTGCTGAAATCTGTGGTTTTTCCCGAGCACCTCGACAATGGTCACTGCTCACTGAAGTCATCATATACAGTATATACAAAATAATGTATGTACAAAATAGAAAATCTGCAAGAAAGTAGGGATGGTAAGCAAAACAATCATAGTAAAAGATAAGCATGTACTTCAGAGAAAACAAGGACACTTACAATAAAAGATAAAAGCTCTCTGGAATACAAATTCTCAAGAAGTAGCCCTTGAGGATTTTACATTTTGCTGGTATCTGTTAAACCAATTCGACTACTGCAATCTAAGTCTATGGTTTACGAGCTTAGCAATTCTAAACAAAAATCTCAAGTACCACCAATTTTAACCAGCAACCATTTTATCACTACATGTAGTCACTGTACATGAAGTGCTATCTGCCTCTTACTACTTGCAGTTGCTATTTGAACCCCAAAACAACATTGCACCCAGCCAAGATTTTACCTGCCAATAGCCCAATTTAAAATGTGTCAAGAAACAGGCTATGCCTAAAAGCAAAAGTCAGCTGTAAATAATAAATCTTAAAGAAACAATTGTGTGGCCGGGTGCGGTGGCTCACGCCTGTAATCCCAGCAATTCACGAGGCCGAGGCAGGCAGATCATGAGGTCAGGAGATCGAGACCATGCTGGCTAACACAATGAAACCCCGTCTCTACTAAAAATACAAAAAAGTTAGCCGGGCATGGTGGCAGGCATCTGTAGTCCCAGCTACTTAGGAGGCCAAGGCAGGAGAATGGCGTGAACCCGGGAGGCAGAGGTTGCAGTCAGCCGAGATCGCGTCACTGTACTCCAGCCTTGGCGACAGAGCGAGACTCCGTCTCAAAAAAAAAAAAAAATTGTGCATATAATTTTCTTTGATTTGTTGAACAAACATTTATTGACTAGCTACTAAGTGTCAAGCACATAATTAAGTATGTCATCAAAACATGATTCTAAGCTGGGCACGGTGGCATGCACCTGCAATCCCAGCTATTTTGAGGCTAAGATGGGAAGACTGCTTGAGCCCAAGAGTTTGAGACCAGCCTAGACAACACTGTAAGAACAACTCCACCTCAATTTAAAAAAAAAAAAAAATTATAACCATAAGATTCCTACTTCCTACCCTTTAGGGATAGCGATTACAATTTTTTTTTTTTTTTTTAGACAGAAGAGCCGGGAATTTTCCGATAAAGACCAGAAAACCTGCTAGACAAATTCTAAAAGAGCTGTAACACTATAATTGTTTTTTTGTTTAATTTTAAAAACACAGAAAGCATCGGTGAGGATGTACAAAAACTAGAACCCTTGTGCACTGCTGATGGGAATTTAAAGTGGTACAACCATCATTAAAAGAATGGTGGTTCCTTAAAAAAAAAAAATCAAAAACTAAATTACCATATGATCCAGCAATTCCAATTCTGGGTAGGCACCAAAAACAAATCTCAAAGCAGAGTCTCAAAGAGATGCTTGTACTTCCATGTTAAGAGTGCCATTATTGGCCGGGCACGGTCACTCACGCCTGTAATCCCAGCACTTTGGGAGGCCAAGGCGGGAGGACCACAAGGTCAGGAGATCGAGACCATCCTGGCTAACACGGTGAAACCCCGTCTCTACTAAAAATACAAAAAATTAGCCAGGCGTAGTGGCGGGCGACTGTAGTCCCAGCTACTCAGGAGGCTGAGGCAGGAGAATGGCGTGAACCCGGGAGGTGGAGCTTGCAGTGAGCTGAGATCGTGCCACTGCGCTCCAGCCTGGGCAACAGAGCAAGACTCCGTCTCAAAATAAATAAATAAATTTTAAAAATAAAAAATAAATTAATTAATTAAAAAGCACCATTATTCATAATAGCCAAAAAGTGGAAGATACCCAAGTGTCCATCAATAGATGAATGGATAAGCAAAATGTGACATATATACACAATGGAAAATTATTCAGCCTTAAGAAGGGAAGATATTCTAACACATGCTACCACATGGATGCACCTCAAAGACATTATGCTAAGTGAAATAAGCCAGTCAAAAAAGGACAAATAAGGCTAGGGTGCAGTGGCTCACACCTGTAATCCCAGTACTTTGGGAAGAGGAGGCAGGTAGATTGATTACAAGGTCAGGAGTTCAAGACCAGCCTGGCCAACATGGTGAAACCCCGTCTCTACTAAAAATACAAAAATTAGCCAGGCATGGTGGCACACACCTGTAATCCCAGCAACTCAGGAAGCTGAAGCAGGAGAATTGCTTGAACCCAAGAGGCGGAGGTTGCAGTGAGCCAAGGTAGTGCCACTGCACTCCAGCCTGGGCGACAGAGCAAAACTCTCGGGGCAAGGGGTAAAAAAAAACGGACAAATACTACATGACTCTACTTATACAAGTTACTTAGAAAAGTCAAATTCATAGAAACAAGTAGAATGGTAGTTACCAGAGGCTGGGGGTAGGGGAAGAATGGGGAGTTACTGTATCACAGGTATGGAGTTTCTGTAGGGGAGGATACAAAGGTTCGGAAGATGGACGGCAGTGGTGGTTGCACGACAATGTAAATGTACTTAATGTCAGAGAACTGTATATGTAACAATGGTTACAATAAACTTTATGTTATGTACATTTTACTACACACACACACACACACACACACACACACACACACGCACAGAAAAACATGTAGCAATGCCTTAAAAGTTAAATTTCCAAAATGGAATTCTCCACAGAGGAAATATACCCATCAATCAGAAACAAACTGTTTATGCAAACAATTCCACTCTTACGAAGCTCCTAGAACAAACAAAACAAAAACAAATGTGCAGCCGGTCGCGGTGGCTCATATCTGTAATCCTAACACTTTGGGAGGCTGAGGCAGGCAGATCACGAGGTCAGGAGTTCGAGACCAGCCTGACCAACATGGTGAAACCCCATCTCTACTAAAAATACAAAAATTAGCCAGGCATGGTGGCAGACGCCTGTAATCCCAGCTACTAGGGAGGCTGAAGCAGGATAATTGCTTGAACCTGGGAGGCGGAGGTTGCAGTGAGCCCACTGCACTCCAGCTTGGGTGACAGAGGGAGACTCCATTATTAAAAAAAAAAAAAAAAAAAAACTAAGAGATAAACACACACATTAGTCTAGGCCTACACAGGGTCAGGATCATCAATACTACCGTCTTCCATCTCCACATCTGTCCCACTGGAAGGTCTTCAGCGCAATAACACATAGAGCTATCATCTCCAATGATAACAATGCAGAGCCAATGATTTTTTTTTTTTTAAGACAGAGTCTCACTCCATCACCCAGGCTGGAGTGCAACGAATAGTGCGATCTCGGCTCACTGCAACCTCCACCTTCTGGGTTCAAGCAATCCTCCTGTCTCAGCCTCCCGAATAACTGGGACCAGAGGCACGCGCCACCATGCCCGGCTAATTTTTGGTATTTTTAGTAGAGATGGGGTTTGGCCATGTTGGTCAGGCTGGTCTCAAACTCGTGGCCTCAGGTGATCCACCAGCCTTGGCCTCCCAAAGTGCTGAGATTACAGGCGTGTGCCACTGAGCCGGCCCAGAGCCAACGATTTTAACAATACATGGAACTCTGTTTCCTTTTTTTTTTTTTGAGACAGAGTCTGGCTCAGTCACCCAAGCTGGAGTGCAGTGGCTTGATCTCTGCTCACCGCAAGCTCTGCTTCCTGGGTTCACGCCATTCTCCTGCCTCAGCCTCCTGAGTAGCTGGGACTACAGGCACCCGCCACCAAGCCCAGCTAATTTTTTTGTATTTTTTTAGTAGAGACGGGGTTTCACCGTGTTAGCCAGGATGGTCGCGATCTCCTGACCTCGTGATCCACCCGCCTCGGCCTCCCAAAGTGGTGGGATTACAGGACCCGGCCGGAATTCTGTTTTCTAGAACGGTCAGTTTTAGACACCCAAAAGCAAGCATTCCCATGATGTGGAAAGATATTCCACTATTTGTAAATCTTATACATTTCAGATTAATAAAATGACATTACAACATTTCTACATATTTTTGATCTGTGTATCATAAAATAAAATAGAGGAGACTAACCATAATTCATCATACTAATTCAGGTACCAAAGAAAATTGTGTCCCTGAAACCTATTTTAGCCAGAAAAGGTCTGACAAGCATTTTTCTGTGTTAGCTGCACTAATATTAACTTATTTTTTCAACAGCTTCATTAACTGGCTTGCTAAAGGCCACAGACATATTATTGTACTGCCTTTTACATTATAGTAACAACCAATTATCTAGAATTTCTCACAGCCTCAATACACTGGTTTAAAACTTTTTACTGCATTTGAATCTGCCTCTCCAGTCAGTATGAATACACATTTTGCATCCTTTTTCAGTTTAACAACTTTATAATTTTGTTGGTTTGGGTTTATCATTTTGGTTGTATTATAGAGAACAAGGTTAATTGTTTTGCCATGATTCCATTTATTTTTAAAGCATTCTCTCAGATATGAATAAATGCATACGAACACACTGTTTTAAAACTGTGATGCATTTAAACAAATGTAAGGCATATCTGTATTTGAGAAAGAATCCATTTGATTTTTTTTTTTTTTTTTTTGAGACGGAGGCTCGCTCCATCACCCAGGCTGGAGTGCAGTGATGTGATCTCAGCTCACTGCAACCTCCGTCTCCCGGGTTCAGGCGATTCTCCTGTCTCAGCCTCCCAAGCAGCTGGGACTACAGACGCCTGCCACCACGCCCGACTAATTTTTGTATTTTTAGTAGAGATGGGGTCTCAACTTGTTGGTCAGGCTGGTTTCGAACTCCAGACCTCGGGTGATCCAACCGCCTCAACCTCCCAAAGTGCTGCAATTACAGACATGAGCCACTGTGCCCGGCCCCATTGGATTATTTTTAAAATCACCTTCAGGCCAGGCACCGTGGCTCACACCTGTAATCCCAACACTTTGGGAAGCCAAGGCAGACAGATCACCTGATGACAGGAGTTCAAGACCAGCCTGGCCAACGTGGTGAAACCCTACCTGTATTAAAAATTCAAAAATTAGCCGGGCATGGTGGCGCACCTCTGTAATCCCAACTACTTAGGAGGCTGAGGCAGGAGAATCGCTTGAAGCCAGGAGGAGGAGGTTGCAGTGAGCTGAGATTGCACCACTGCACTCCAACCTGGGCAACAAGAGCGAGACACCATCTAAAAAAATAAAAATAAAAAAATCACCTTCAGCACTAATACTCTGCAATTCCATCTTAAGTATCTAAAGTGAAGCATCCAAGCTGGGCAAGGTGGCATGCACCTGTAAGTCCCAGCTATTCAGGAGGCTGAGGCAGGAAGATCACTTAACCCACAGTTCAAATCCAGGCTAGGCAACACAGCAAGACCCCTTTTTTTTTTTTTTTTTTTTTTAAGACACAGTCTGGCTTTGTTGCCCAGGCTGGAGTGCAGTGGCACGATCTCGGCCCAGCAACTTCTGCCTTCCAGGTTCAAGTGATTCTCCCACCTCAGCCTCCCAAGTAGCTGGGACTATAGGTATGTGCCACCGTGCCCAGCCGATTTTTTTTGTATTTTTAGTAGAGATGGGGTTTCACCATGTTGGCCAGGCTGGTCTTGAACTCCTGACCTCAAGTGATCCACCAGCCTCAGCCTCCAAAGTGCTGGGATTACAGGTGTGAGCCATCATGCCCAGCCACCTATCTCCTTAAATAAATACATTTTAAGAAAAGAATAAAACAGAATTAAGCATCTAATCAAAAGCTAACTTGTTGAGTAGTATTCCTACCACAAAACCTTTTTAAGAAGTGAGTAGTTTACTCATAGATTTCCAGTTCTGTTGATTGGATTATCTGATCTTTTTCTCACTGTTTATTCTCAGTGACCCCATTTATGAAAATAATCGGCTGGGTGCAGTGGCTCACGCCTGTAATCCCAGCACTTTGGGAGGCCGAGGCAGGCGGATCACGAGGTCAGGAGATGGTGACCATCCTGGCTAATACAGTGAAACCCTGTCTCTACCAAAAATACAAAAAATTAGCCAGGCATGGTGGCACGCGCCTGTAGTCCCAGCTACTCGGGAGGCTGAGGCAGAAGAATCGCTTGAACCCAGGAGGCAGAGGTTGCAGTGAGCTGAGATCGCACCACTCCACTCCAGGGAAACAGAGCAAGACTGTCTCAAAAAAAAAAAAAAAGAAAGAAAATAATCTAGGTGAAATAACAAAATGAGACTTTCTCCATACAGGAGTGCCATCTGGTGATAAAAATCTGCATGTACAGAAGAAATATACTTAACCCATATTCAATGTACATTAATTTTTTGATTTACAGAAAAATGACTTAATCTTTATAGCCTCACTACTATAACCAAACATTTTGATATAATGTACATGAATCCTCACTTGTCAAGGAAGAAAACCATAACTCTTTGTTATAACGCAAACTATTAAAATTTTACTGGTCCATGTTCACAGTATCAACATTAAGACTATATCTCCTTCCAATCATCAATTCTTAATATTCCACAATGAATACGTAATTAGCCTATAAATAATGACCCGGTTGCATGGCTAAACCAGAATAGTTGCTTTGTGAAACATAAAAACTACATGGCTTACTTTATTGTTTGGAAAAAGTTTTTCTCTTAATTAAGGTTTACTGCTCTGGGTTATATATTCATAAATTGTTACTACAAAGACTTCTAGCTTAAAAATAGCAAATACAGGCCGGGTGCAGTAGCTCACGCCTGTAATCCCAGCACTTTGGAGGCCAAGGCAGGCGGATCACGAGGTCAGGAGATCGAGGCCATCCTGGCTAATAAGGTGAAACCCCATCTCTACTAAAAATACAAAAAATTAGCCGGGCATGGTGGCACGCACCTGTAGTCCCAGCTACCCAGGAGGCTGACGCAGGAGAATCGCTTGAACCTGGGAGGCGGAGTCTGCAGGGAGCCGAGATGGCGCCATTGCACTCCAGTCCGGGTGACAGAGCAAGACTCTGTCTCAAAAAAAAATAAAAATAAAAATAGCAAATACAAGGATGGGCGCGGTGGCACACGCCTGTAATCCCAGCATTTTGGGAGGCCGAGCCGGCTGGATCACCTGAGGTCGGGAGTTCAAGACCAGCCCGACCATCTCTACTAAAAATACAAAATTAGCCGGGCGTGGGGGCACATGCCCATAATCCCAGCTACTCAGGAGGCTGAGGCAGGAGAATCGCTTGAACCCGGGAGGAAGAGGTTGCGGTGAGCCAAAATTGCGCCATTGCACTCCAGCCTGGGAAACAACAGCAAAACTCTGTCTCAAAAAAAAAAAAAATAGCAAATACATTCTTTGAAAAATAAAAATAATTGTAAGGGCCTCAGGACATCCAAGAATGCATGCTTAAATAAATTCAGATTAACTTGTCTTCTGTCAGTTGTGCCTCTCCACACTATCACTGAAATGTTATAATACCTAATTCCCTATTCATAAAAAGTCTTAATATTAAAGATGTCCAGCAAAAAAATTTCCAGAGATGAAACAGGTTTCGCACAACAATCACAGGGGATGGGGGATGTGACTGAAATCTTCTGGAAAAACGGGTCAGAAAATAACTTTAACAGGATGCATGATTCAACAGACAAATTTTCCCGTATTAATTTTACATAAAACTTCTGATAAAGCCAGGCGCGGTGGCTAATGCCTGTCATCTCAGCACTTTGGGAGGCTGAGGCGGGTGGATCACTTGCGGTCAGGAGTTCCAGACCAGCCTGGCAAACATGGCGAAACCCTGTCTCTACTAAAACTACAAAAATTAGCTGGGTGTGGTGGCGTGAGCCTGTAATCCCAGCTATTTGGGAGGCTAAGGCAGGAGAATCACTTGAACCCGAGAGGCGGAGGTTGCAGTGAACCGAGATCATGCCACTACACTCCAATCGGGGCGACAGAACAAGACTCTGTCTCCCCAAAAAAAAAAAACTTCTGATAATTGTGAATCCATTAAATCAAGGTAAAAGCGTAAGTTACCAAAATATTCTTCAAGACCCTTAAAAATTGTTACCACCACTGAACTGTAAAAATGACTGAGACATGGAAACTAGACCGTAAAAATCAACACCTTCAACTAACATACTGTTAGGAGGAACTTCTATGTCCTCCTTTTCTGGGAAATGGAGCTGTGTGTAGTAAATAGGAATGCTTCTACAACAAGTACCCAGTTGCCAGACCATAGGAATTCAGTGTACACTTGTGTTCCATCATCTATCACTTTCCACTCCCAAGAGTTCTACTACACTGGAACAGGTTCCAAGAGAATTCTCAGAATAGAAACAGACAAGAGCAAAAGATTCTAAAAATAATCCAGTAGAAACTCAAACATACCTATCTCAAGTTCTTGAGGGGCAGGAAGCACCAGGCTTACTTCAATCTATCCAACCAAATTTTGAAACCCGTATTTATCTCACCTCAAAGTGAATTAAAGATGTGATAGATTTTAACACAGGTAAAGAACTGCTGCTACATTTTTAACTTCTTTAGAAACAAAATCAGCAAAATATAATATAAAGCTTCCTATTAACGATTAAAGTGAAAAAATTGTCTAAATGTAATGAGGAAAGAAAGTCTCCGGCCGAATAAACCAACCTGATAAAACTACAAAGATATTCTCTATGAAAGGAATAGTTTTGGAAAAAAGTTTTAACTGCCTAAAAAGTTTTGTTTCCGTTTTTGTTTTCTTTTTCATAGACATACGATCTTCCCATATTTGCCTAGGCTGGTCTCAAACTCCTGGGCTCAGGTGATCCTCCCACCTTGGCCTCCCAAAGAACTAGGATTACAGGCCTGAGCTACCATGCCCGGTTTAACTGCTGTTTTTTTCAAGGACCTTTCTGAAGATAAGATACCTCAGTGAAACAGCCGCATTTTCAAGTGATCTCAGTTTAGACTTAACTGAAAATGGTTGACTTAACAACCACCAACATTTCTGTTAAAGCTTACATAAGCACAAATTCATCTAACTTTAAGGCATACAAAAAACACGGTCGGGTAAAAACTTTTCTAAAAACCATGTATATACCCTAAACGAAAAGCAAGGACACATTTTATCATTCTGAAAAGTTACAGAACACTTGCTGACAACATACTGAGAAGAGGGAAGATTTCAACAGACATTTAATAAAAGTTTGAACAGTTAATTAAATCCCAAACTACATACTTACACTGCATGTATTTAAGACAGCATCACAAAGCATTGATTGGAAGATAGTTCTAAAACCAGGATGTTGACACACTTGTGCAAAGTATCTCAGCTACTACATCAAATAAATTTACGTTTCAGGAACAGAAAAACTAATGTTTTTTTCAAACCAAATATAATTCAGATGACATGAATTACATAATGGGCTAAGGGTTCAACTACTAAAAACAGGATACACAATTTATGTTAAAGAAGCAAGTCTTCATCAAGAATGTCCAGAGATGCTGTTCACTGAGTCATGAGACCAGTGGTGCAGGGTCTATCTCAAACTGGCAAGGATGGGTCTCAGGTCCTTCATCTATATATGTCCACTCATTCCCAAAATCTAAAACCAATGGTAATGACAATACTAGCAGAAAGCACATACCATTCACTATGTGCCAGACACCATTCTAAGCACTTTATATGTACAGTATTAAGTCACTAATCTTTCCAACACTCTAGAGTACACATTACTTTACTCCCATTTTACAGAGAGGAAACTAAGATACACAGAGAATCACAGCTAGTAAGTGGTGAAGGCAGTATTCAAACCCAGGACATTTGGCTCTACAGTGTGTGCACTTAACTATTATGCTATGTTGTAAGGCTAACTGTTCAGTCACAGATAAATAATAGTTCCCAATTCAGCTTCTTCTTCTATACAACAGCATAACTATTGTTGGCATCACCTGCAAAGCTTGTGCCTGATGACAAAGATCTGGTCTAGATCAGATCTCACCTAGCTTCTCAGCCTTTCAGATACCCATATGTTCTATACTGGTATATTTCTGTGACCACTACTATTATTTTTGTTTAATTTCTAATCTGTGTTCCCGCATTTTCTACTAAGAAAACAGTCAATATTCTCAACCTTCTCTGCAGAGGAAATTCATTTATTCATACCTGCAGAAGACAAAGCTCAGATTAAGAATCTGAGGCCAAGGCCAGGTACGGTGGCTCACACCTGTAATCCCGGCACTTTGGGAGGCTGAGGCGGGAGGATTACTTGAGGTCAGGAGTTTGAGATGAGCCTGGCCAACATAGTGAAACCCTACCCTACTAAAAATACAAAAAATAAGCCAGGTGTGGTGGCGCATGCCTGTAATCCCAGCAAATCGGGAGGCTGAGGCAGGAGAATCCACTTGAATTTATTTATTAAAAAATAAACAAAAGAATCTGGCCTGGCATAGTGGCTCATGCCTGTAACTCCAACAGTCTGGGAGGCCAAGAGGGGGAGGATCGCCTGAGCCCAGGAGTTTAAAACCAGCCTGGGCAACACAGTGAGACCCCATTTCTATTATTTAAAAAAGAAAAAAATAGGCCAGGCACGGTGGCTCACGCCTGTAATCCCAGCACTCTGGGAGGCCAAGGCAGGCGAGTCATGAGGTCAAGAGATCGAGACCATCCTGGCTAACACGGCGAAACCCCATCTCTACTAAAAATACAAAAAAAAAATTAGCCGGGGGTGGTGGCGGGTACCTGTAGCCCCAGCTACTCAGGAGACTGAGGCAGGAGAATGGTGTGAACCTGGGAGGCAAGAGCTTGCAGTGAGCCGAGATTGCACCACTGCACTCCAGGCTGGGCGACAGAGCGAGACTCCATCTCAAAAAAAAAAAAAAGAAAAGAAAAGAATCTCAACTAAATTAGGAGGCCCAGAACAGCCACCAACACAAAGTCTACACCCGTAATCGAGGAGAGAACAAGGTATCTAGGGTGCCAAGAAACTCAACTATGAGATCCAATTCCATGCAGCTCAACTGCTTGTACCCTGCATGCCAGGAGCTGAACAAGCTGATACTTTTATTCTCTGCAGCTGTTAAGGGCAGGGTCAGGCCTCTAGCAGCTGATGGACAAGGTTGAACTCCCCTACACCCACACTTCGCTGACAGAAGAATCACAAAGTTATCTGCTGTTCCATGGATATAACCTGCCCATGGAAAGGATGAGTGCTGGTGAACTCAAACACTATAGGACATCAAAATTTATTTGATATCGTCACAATTCTCTTTCAGGTTACCTAAGGCCACGAAGGGAATTAATTGCCCATAGCTGTTTGCACACATCTGTCCTATTCCTATCCTGCTAATTCAGCTGTAAACCCTGTCTTATTTATTTATTTATTTATTTATTTATTTATTTTGAGATGGAGTTTCACTGTTGTCACCCAGGCTGGAGTGCAGTGGCGCAACACTGGCTCACTGCAACCTCTGCCTCTTGGGTTCAAGCGATTAGCCTGCCTCAGCCTCCCAAGTAGCTGGGATTACAGGCACCCGCCACCACGCCCGGCTAATTTTTTGTATTTTTGGTAGAGATGGGGTTCACCATGTTGGCCAGGCTGGTCTCAAACTCCTGACCTTAAGTGATCCGCCTACCTCAGGCTCTTAAAGTGCTGGGATTACAGACACGAGCCACTGCGACCAGCCTTAAACCTTGTCTTTTGCCCAGCAGGTAACCAGGACTCTTCACCCTGGAATCTCTTGAAAAGCATGTAATTATTCATAACCAGTCTTCACCACTACTTATAACAGTTCTCTCTCTCCTACAAAAAGGAAAAAAAAAAGCAAAAAAGCCTATACTATAAAGCAGGGATCCCCAATCCCCAACTCCCAGGCTGCAGACTGGGGTAATTAGGAACTGGGCCGCACAGCAGGAGGTGAGCAAACCTGGGCGGCGTGGCAAGTCCTCGTCTATACAATAAATTTTTTTTTAATTAGCCACGCTTGGTGGCGCACACCTGGAATCCCACCCATTCAGGAGGTTGAGGTGGTAGGAATCCTTGAGCTTAGGAGATCAAGGCTGCAGTGTGCTATGATCATGTCACCGCACTCCAGACTGGGCAATAGAGTAAGACCACATCTCCTAAAAAATAAAAAAAACTCTTAACAGTTCCTAAAGAAATTAAACAGTTATGATAAAGACCAAGCAATCCTACTCCTGGGTATGCACCCAAGAGAACTGAAAACACGTTCACCTAAAAATGTGTACATAGGGCCAGGCGTAGTGGCTCAGACCTGTAATCCAGCACTTTGGGAGGCTGAGGAGGGTGGATCACCAGAAGGTCAAGAGTTTGAGACCAGCCTGGCCAACATGGTGAAACCTTGTCTCTACTAAAAATATAAAAAATTAGCTGGATGTGGTGGCGGGTACCTATAATCCCAGCTACTCGGGAGGCTGAGGCAGGAGAATTGCTTGAACCCAGGAGGCGGAGGTTGCAATGAGCCAAGATTATGCCACGGCACTCCAGCCTGGACAACAAGAGCAAAACTTCTCAAAAAAAAAAAAGAAAATGTATACATAGGCCAGGCCCAGTGGTTCACACCTGTAATCCCAATACTTTGGGAGGCCATGGTGGGAGGACCACTTGGGCTCAGGAGTTCGAGACCAGCCTGGGCAGCATAGCAAGACCTTGTCTCTATTTAAAAAAATAAAAAGAAGAAGAAGGAAGAAATGCGGCCAGGCACGGTGGCTCACACCTGTAAACCCAGCACTTTGGGAGGCCAAGGCAGGTGGATCATGAGATCAGGAGTTCGAGATCAGCCTGGCCAACATGGTGAAAACCCATCTCTACTAAAAATACAAAAATTAGGCCGCTGTGGTGGGGGCACCTGTAATCCCAGCTACTCGGGAGGCTGAGGCAAGAGAACTGCTTGAACCCGAGAGGCAGAGGTTGCAGTGAGCTGAGATTGCGCCACTGCACTCCAGCCTGGGTGACAGAGCAAGACTCCATCTCGAAAAAAAAAAAAAGAAAGAAATACATACATAGGCCAGGCACGGTGGCTCACGCCTGTAATCCCAACACTTTGAGAGGCTGTGGCAGGAGAGCAGTGTGGGGCCAGGAGTTCAAGACCAGCCTGGGCAACATAGAGAGAACCCGTCTCTATAAAAAAGTTTAAAAATCAGCCAGGTGAGCCGGGCGCGGTGGCTCACGCCTGTAATCCCAGCACTTTGGGAGGCTGAGGCGGGCAGATCACGGGGTCAGGAGATCGAGACCACCCTGGCTAACACGGTGATACCCCATCTCTACTAAAAATACAAAAACAAAATTAGCCAGGCGTGGTGGCGGGCACCTGTAGTCCCAGCTACTTGGGAGGCTGAGGCAGGAGAATGGCGTGAACCCGGAAGGCGGAGGTTGCAGTGAGCCGAGATCGCGCCACTGCACTCCAGCCTGGGCGACAGAGCCAGATTCCATCTCAAAAACAAACAAACAAACAAAAAAACTGGCCCGGTATGACAGAGCACACCTGTGGTCCCAGCTACTCAGAAGGCTGAAATGGGAGGATCACTTGAGCCTGGGAGGTCAAGGCTGCAGTATGCCGTGATCACGCCAGTGCACTCCTAGTACAGTGCCCAAGAGATGAGTGAGACCCTGTTTCAAAAATAAAATAAGGGGCCAGGCACGGTGGCTCACGCCTGTAATCCCAGCACTTTGGGAGGCCCGGGCGCATGGATCACAAGGTCAGGTGATCGAGACCATCCTGACTAACATGGTGAAACCCCGTCTCTACTAAAAGTATTTTTAAAAAATTAGCTGGGCATAGTGGCAGGCGCCTGTAGTCCCAACAACCCAGAAGGCTGAGGCAGGAGAATGGCATGAACCCAGGAGGCGGAGCTTGCAGTGAGCCAAGATCGCACCACTGCACTCCAACCTGGGCGACAGAGCAAGACTCATCTCAAAAAAATTAAACTAAAAATAAAAATAAAATAAGGGCTAGGCACTGTAGCTCCTGCCTATAATCCCAGCATTTTGGGAGGCCAAGGCAGGCGGATCACCTGAGGTCAGGGTTTCAAGACTAGCCTGGCAAGGTGGGAGTCAGGAGTTTGAGACCAGCCTGGCCAAATGGTAAAACCCTCTCTCTACTAAACATACAAAACTTAGCCGGGCATGGTGGCACGGACCTGTAATCCTACTACTCGGGAGGCTGAGGCAGAGGAATCGCTTGAACCCAGGAAGCGGAGGTTGCAGTGAGTTGAGATCGCACTACTGCACTCCAGCCTGTGCTACAAGAGCAAAACTCAGTCTCAAAAAAAAAAAAAAAAGGCCAGCTTGGCCAACATGGCAAAACCCCGTCTCTACTGAAAATACAAATTTAGCCAGGCGTGGTGGCATGTGTCTGTAATCTTGGCTTACTGCAACCTCTACTCCCAGGTTCAAGCTATTCTCCTGCCTTGGCCTCCTGAGTAGCTGGGATTACAGATGCCCACCACCACACCTGGCTAATTTTTGTATTTTTAGTAGAGACAGGTTTCGACATGTTGGCCAGGCTGGTCTCAAACTCCTGACCTCAGGTGATCCACCCGCCTCGGCCTCCCAAAGTGCTGGGATTACAGGCATGAGCCACCACGCCCGGCCTTAACTTGCTTTCCTAAGTAAATTCAAGCGATTATCCTGCCTGAGCCTCCCAGTAGCTGGGATCACAGGTATGTACCACCATGCCCGGCTAATTTTTGAATGTATGAGGCTGAGGCTTCACTGAGCTGAGATCACACCACTGCACTCTGGCCTGGGCAACACAGCAAGACCCTGTCCCAAACCAAAAAAAAAAAAAAGAAAGAAAAAAAGAGGATCTATTTCCTATGTATTAACAAAAAGTGCTAATAGGCCAGGTGTGGTGGTTCATGCCCGTAATCTCAACACCTTGGGAAGCCAAGGAGGGAGGACTTCTTGAGCCCAGGAGTTTGAGACCAGCCTGGGTAACATAGCAAGACCTCCTCATCTCTACTAAAAAATACATTTAAAAATTAGCCAGGTATGGTGGCGCATGCCTGTGGTCCCACCTCCTTGGGAGGCTGAGGCGGGAGGATTGCTTGATCCCAGGATTTCGAGGCTACAGTGAGCTATGATCAGCCTGGGCAACATAGCATGACCCTATAGCACCAAAAAATTTAAAAAGTGCTAATAAGTTGCCAACTTAACATCCTCATCCATGTCAAATTCTATCCCTAAACGTAGCTAAACACGGCTCTCTCGCCAACCATGTTCAGCTGCAGGAATCCCCATCTATCCTCTCTTGAAAGGATGAAAGTAAGAACAAATTAACTCATAGATTTAATACCAACAGCACAATAACCTTGGTCTGTGATAAAGACTCAGGCATATTTCTGTCTTTATACACTCACACTCCCTCTGCCCTGAGTCTCCAGCTCTGCATCCACCAAAGTAAGATTAACTTCCCACTAGTTACTCTGTCCCAAGGCTTCACAGGAAAGGGGATAAAGGAGGAAAACCACCTTCCCCCTTTGGCCAGTCAGAAGGAAGGAAGATATCAAAATATAGGCTAACCTACCTCAGCTTTCTTAGGGATACAAGTTCAATAAAACAATTTTTCTTCTACTACAGTCATGATGACCACAACCAGTCACAGAGATTAAGAATCTTTGTTTCTTAGGCTGGGTGTGGTGGCTCATGCCTGTAATTCCAGCACTTTGGGAGGCCGAGGCAGGCGGATCACTTGAGGTCCGGAGTTTGAGATCAGCCTGGCCAACATGTCAAAACCCTATCTTTACAAACAATACAAAAATTAGCTGGGCGTGGTTGCACGCACCTGTAATCTCAGCTAGTCCAGAGGCTGGGGCACGAGAATCACTTGAACCTAGGAGGCAGAGGTTGCAGTGAGCCGCCACTGTACTCTGGCCTGGGCAACAGAGCAAGACCCTGTCTTCAAAAAAAAAAAAAAAAAAATCAACATCTTTGCTTCTTGATACTCTAAGCCACAATGTTTAACTCTTGCTTCTTATTTTCAAGAACAGAAAAACCATGACAGTACTCAACACACAGTACAACTACTATGGAAAACAATTTGGAGGTTCTGGAAAAAACTAAAAATTGAGCTACCATATGATCCAGCAATCTCACTGCTGGGTATATACCCAAAATAAGGGAAATCAGTATATTGAAGAAATATCTGCATTCCTGTTTGTTGCAGCACTGTTTACAATAGCTAAGATTTGGAAGTAACCTAAGTGTCTATCAACAGGTGAATAGATAAAACATGGTACTTATACACAACAGAGTACTACTTAGCCATAAAAAAGAATGAGATCCTGTCATTTGAAACAACGTGGATAGAACCGGAGATCATTATGTTAAGTGAAATAACCCAGAAACAGAAAGACAAACATCACATGTTCTCACTTAGTTGTGGGAACTAAAAATCAAAACAATTGAACTCATAATCACAGACAGTAGAAGGATGGAGTATCAGAGGCTAGGAAGGGTAGTGGGGGACTTGGGGGAGGTAGGGATGGTTATTGAGTACAAAAATAATAAGACCCACTATTTGATAGCACAATAGGGTAACTATAGTCAATAACTTAATTGTATACTTTTTTTTTTTCTCCTGAGACAGGGTCTGACTCTTTCGCCCAGGCTGAAGCGCAGTGGTGCAATCTCGGTTCCCTGCAACCTCTGCCTCCTGCGCTCAAGAGATTCTCCCACCTCAACCTCCCAAGCAGCTGCGACTACAGTCAAGCATCAAATCAATTCTTTTTTTTTTTTTTTAAACAGAGTTTCACTCTGTTGCCCAGGCTGGAGTGCAATGGCATGATCTCAGCTCACTGCAACCTCTGCCTCCCAGGTTCAAGCAATTCTCCTGTCTCAGCCTCCCAAGTAGCTGGGATTACAGGCACCCACCACCATGCCTGGCTAATTTTTGCATTTTTAGTAGAGACGGGGTTTCGTCATGTTGGCCAAGCTGTTCTTGAACTCCTGACCTCAGGTGATCCACCTGCCTCAGCCTCCCAAAGTCCTAGGATTAAAGGCATGACCCACCACGCCCGGCTTCAAATCAATTCTTAATGAAGACCAGATGACCTAAAATAATAGTTCTCATTATTCACATCTCTGCAGGAACCATTTCAACATTTGGCACTCAAATGTCACAAATTCACAATTTATTTCACAAGTGATTTATAAAAGTTCAACATACCTATTAAGTCATTTTGAGACAGTTACATCATCTCTAGGTTTTATTACAAGCCTAAAATATAAATACTGATTTAATACTTCAGAAGTTTTTCATTATAGTTCTTCAACTTTCCTCATGAATCCAGGATATCAAGTCCTGGTTTTTCTTTTTTTAGTAAAAGTATATTGCTTTTATTTTACTGACATCCTTATTACTTAATCACTCATGCCAAAAGCAACTTTCTTAAAAATGTCTGTTACCTAAAGAATGTATCTATCAAAACAAAGTCATGCCATCCATTTAAACATTAACACACCTGCCACATAAGTATCTGGTCCAGTTTTAATCCAAATACAAAATTCCTTAATAAAGAAAACACTACACTAATGAGAAATACCCCACATCCTTATATGTCTAAAGAACCACTCAACTGGCTGGGCACAGTGGCTCACGCCTGTAATCCCAGCACTTTGGGAGGCACAGGCGGGCGGATCAGGAGGTCAGGAGATCAAGACCATCCTGGCTAACATGGTGAAACCCTGTTTCTACTAAAAATACAAAAATTAGCCAGGTGTAGTGGCATGAGCCTATAGTCCCAGCTACTGGAGAGGCTGAGGGAGGAGAATTGCTTCAACCTGGGAGGCGGAGGTTGCAGTGAGTCAAGATCACGCCACTGCACTCCAGCCTGGGAAACAGCGAGACTCAATCTCAAAACAAACAAACAAACAAAAAAAAAACGAATCGCTCAACTGTTCTCTACATCCGGATTACTCTCAAAAACAAAGGCTCAGAAAAATTACCTTCCAAGCACTCCTGAAACTTCATGTTCTATCTTGTAAGCAACAACTACATAAACTGTATTTCACAAAATGAATACATTCACTGCCTCCATTTCCTCACTAAACATCTCCTTAACCTTCTGTATTCTGGTTTCCATCACCCTATCACTCTAACAGTAGGAAAAATGCTACTCCCTAGGTCACCACTGGTCTCCTAATTGTCAAATCTTTCTTCTGTTCTCATTCTTTCATCTGTCTCTGTCATTCAAAACATTTCATACGGCTAGGCGCGGTGGCTCACGCCTGTAATCCCAGCACTTTGGGAGGCCGAGGCGGGCGGATCACCTGAGGTCAGGAGTTCAAGACCAGCCTGGCCAACATGGTGGAACCCCATCTCTACAAAAGTACAAAAATTAGCCGGGCATGATGGCGGGTGCCTGTAATCCCAGCTACTTGGGAGGCTGAGGTGGGAGAACAGCTTGAACCTGGGAGGTGGAGGTTGCAGTGAGCCGAGATCGCGCCACTGCACTCCAGTCTGGGTGACAGAGCGAGACTCCATCTAAAAAAAAAAAAAAATATATATATATAAAGATTAGCCAGGTTTGTGGTGGCACGTGCCTGTAATTCCAACTACTCAGAGGAGGCTGAGGCACAAGAATCACTTGAACCTGGGAGGCAGAAGTTGCAGTGAGTCGAGATCGTGCTACTGTACTCCAACCTGGGATATAAAGCGAGACTCCATCTCAAAAATAAAGAAAGAAACAAACAAACACTATCAACAAAAACTGTCAACTTCTGTTCACAAACCATCAACTCCTCAATAAAATGCAAACTGTTTATTCCTTCCAATCCCTACACTTGGTCAAACCAGCCTTGGTATTCTCCTAAATCGTCCCTGCCTTTTTGCCTTCACGTTCCACAGGCATGTTTACTCAAGGACATACTGCACATTCTCTCTTTTTTTTTTTGAGTGGGGGAAATCGCTTGAGCCCAGGTAGGTTAAGGCTGCAGTGAGCCTGATCGCATCACTGCATTCCTGAGTGACAGAGTAAGACCCTGTCTCAAACAAAATAGAACAAAGCAAAATAACAGCAAATTCTAATAAAACTAAACTCTGAATACAACATTTAAAGTGTTTTAACAATTTAATTGTAACTTCAGGAATTTGATACTTTTTTCTTTTTTTTTTTTTGAGACGGAGTTTCACTCTTGTTGCCCAGGCTGGAGTACAATGGCATGATCTTGGCTCACTGCAACCTCCGCCTCCCAGGTTCAAACGATTCTCCTCCTCCTCAGCCTCCCAAGTAGCTGGGGTTACAGGCACCCACCGCCATGCCCGGATAATTTTTTATAATTTAATAGAGATGGGGTTTCTCCATGTTGGTCAGGATGGTCTCAAACTCCCGACCTCAGGTGATCTGCCCGTCTCGGCCTCCCAAAGTGCTGGGATTACAGGCGTGAGCCACCGTGCCCAGCCTTGATACTTGATTCTATAGGAAGAATCTAAGAAAACTAAGGCTCAGCCTCCCCAGCTCAAGGAATCCTTGCCAAATACTCAAGCTCAATTCAACAATGCTTTTCTCTGTCACAGGCAGCAGTACCCTGGAATCCTATACACACATTTAAACTGTGTGTGTCTGCTCACCAACATGTAAGCAACTGAAGATCAGGAACCTACATTATTCATCTGTATTCTAGCATCTAACATTGTTGACAACTGGCAGCAATAAATATTCGTTCAAGTGAACACCTATAGAGTAGCATATACCATTTGCGCAGGGAGAACCATCATTCAGGCCTAATCTGCAGTAATGTAAACTTAGCATTCACAGAAATAACAGAGAATATACTACCTTAAGTTTTTCTCTTTTTTTTTTTTTTTTTTTTGAGACAAGGTCTCATTCTGTCTGCCCAGGCTGGAGCACAGTGGTGCGATCTCAGGTACCTCACTGACCTCTGCCTCCCCTCCAGGGTTCCAGCAATTCTCCCGCCTCAGCCTCCCAAGTAGGTGGGACTATAGGCATGTGCCACCACACCCAGCTATTTTTTTTTTTTTTTTTTTTTTTTTTGAGAGAGTCTCGCTCTATCACCCGGGCTGGAGTGCAGTGGCACAATCTCGGCTCGCTGCAACCTCCGACTTCTGGGATCAAGCGATTCTCCTGCCTCGGCCTCCGGATTAGCTGAGATTACAGAGGCGTGCCACCATGCCTGGCTAATTTTTTGTATTTTTAATAGAGACGGGGTTTCACCGTTTTAGCCAGGATGGTCTCGATCTCCTGACCTCGTGATCCGCCCGCCTCGGCCCCCCAAAGTGCTGGGATTACAGGCGTGAGCCACCGCGCCCAGCCCACACACAGCTAATTTTTGTATTTTTTGGTAGAGGTAGGGTTTCACCATGTTGGCCAGGCTGGTCTCAAACACCTGACCTCAAGTGATCCACTTGCCTTGGTCTCCCAAAGAGCTGGGATTACAGGAGAGAGCCACTGCGCCCAGCCCATATACTACCTTAAGTTTTTACTAATGTAATTGTTGCCTCACTCCCACAAATCAAAGGAAACTTTCATCAGTGTTTCAAAACTTAGGGTTGGCATAGCAGTCATGGAATACATATTTTTAGACTTTCCAAAAGCCCCAAAAAGTTACATTTTATCCTACAATAAATTAGCAATTTACTTAGCATTGATGAAAATTACCTGAACTAAGTAACAGCAGTAGTTATTTCTTGCTTATCAGATGACCTGACTGGCAATTATATCTGATAAATAATTGAGAAAATAATCATCTGAGAAAAGGATTATCATTCAGTAGTGTACTTCAGTCACAATATGTAAATACACAAACCCTGACTGGATGGGAAAAGAGGCTATAAAAATACTTCAGTGACAATATGTAAATACAGAAACCCCGACTGGATGGGAAAGAGGCTATAAAAATACATTTTGTGGGCCTACAGCAGCTGCTCACGCCTATAATCCCAACACTTTGGGAGGCTGAGGTGAGCACTTGAACCCAGAAGTTGAAGACCAGCCTGTGCAATATGATGAAACCCTGTCTCTACAAAAAAAAAAAAAAAAAAAAAATTAGCTAGGCACGGTGGCACAAATCTGTAGTCCCAGGTACCCAAGAGGCTAAGGTGGATCATCTGAGCACGGGGAGTTCAAGGCTGCAATGAGCTAGGATTGCACCACTGCACTCCAGCCTGGGAAAAAAAAAAAAAAAAAAAAAAAAAGGTCGGGCGCGGTGGCTCCTGCCTGTAATCCCAGCACTTTGAGAGGCTGAGGTGGGAAGATCATGAGGTCAGGAGTTCAAGACCAGCCTGGCCAACACAGTGAAACTCTGTCTCTATTAAAAATACAAGCCTCCCCTCTCCCCACGGTCTCCCTCTGATGCCAAGCCAAAGCTGGACTGTACTGCCGCCATCTCGGCTCACTGCAACCTCCCTGCCTGATTCTCCTGCCTCGGCCTGCCAAGTGCCTGCGATTGCAGGCGCGCGCCGCCACACCTGACTGGTTTTCGTATTTTTTTGGTGGAGACGGGGTTTCGCTGTGTTGGCCGGGCTGGTCTCCAGCTGCTAACCGCGAGTGATCTGCCAGCCTAGGCCTCCTGAGGTGCCGGGATTGCAGACAGTGTCTCATTAACTCAGTGCTCAATGTTGCCCAGGCTGGAGTGCAGTGGCGTGATCTCGGCTCACTACAACCTCCACCTCCCACCCGCCTGCCTTGGCCTCCCAAAGTGCCGAGATTGTAGCCTCTGCCCGGCCGCCACCCCGTCTGGGAAGTGAGGAGCATCTCTGCCTGGCCGCCCATCGTCTGGGATGTGAGGAGCCCCTCTGCCCTGCTGCCCAGACTGGGAAGTGAGGAGCGCCTCTTCCTGGCCGCCATCCCGTCTAGGAAGTGAGGAGCGTCTCTGCCCGGCCGCCCATCGTCTGAGATGTGGGGAGCGCCTCTGCCCCGCCACCCCGTCTGGGATGTGGGGAGCGCCTCTGCCCCGCCACCCCATCTGGGATGTGAGGAGCGCCTCTGCCCGACCGCGACCCCGTCTGGGAGTTGAGGAGCGTCTCTGCCCGGCCGACCCGTCTGAGAAGTGAGGAGCCCCTCCGCCCAGCAGCCGCCCCGTCTGGGAAGTGAGGAGCCCCTCCGCCCGGCAGCCACCCCGTCTGGGAAGTGAGGAGCGTCTCCGCCCGGCAGCCGGCCCGTCTGGGAGGTGGGGGGCAGCCTCCGCCCAGCCAGCCGCCCCTTCCGGGAGGGAGGTGGGGGGCAGCCCCCGCCCGGCCAGCCGCCCCGTTGGGGAGTTGGGGGGCGCCTCCGCCTGGCCGCCGCCCCGTCCGAGAGGTGGGGGGGGCGCCTCTGCCCGGCCACCCCTTCTGGGAAGTGAGGAGCCCCTCTGCCCGGCCGCCACCTCATCTGGGAGGTGTACCCAACTGCTCATTGAGAACGGGCCATGATGACGATGGCGGTTTTGTCGAATAGAAAAGGGGGAAATGTGGGGAAAAGATAGAGAAATCAGATTGTTGCTGTGTTTGTGTAGAAAGAAGTAGACATAGGAGACTCCATTTTGTTCTGTACTAAGAAAAATTCTTCTGCCTTGGGATGCTGTTAATCTATAACCTTACCCCCAACCCCGTGCTCTCTGAAACATGTGCTGTGTCCACTCAGGGTTAAATGGATAAAGGGCGGTGCAAGATGTGCTTTGTTAAACAGATGCTTGAAGGCAGTTAAGAGTCATCACCACTCCCTAATCTCAAGTACCCAGGGACACAAACACTGCAGAAGGCCGCAGGGACCTCTGCCTAGGAAAACCAGAGACCCTTGTTCACTTGTTTATCTGCTGACCTTCCCTCCACTATTGTCCTATGACCCTGCCAAATCCCCCTCTGCGAGAAACACCCAAGAATGATCAATAAATACTAAAAAAAAAAAAAAAAAAAAAAAAATACAAGCCGCACACGGTGGCTCACGTCTGTAATCCCAGCACTTTGGGAGGCCGAGGCGGGCGATCACCTGAGGTCGGGAGTTCAAGACCAGCCTGATGAACATGGAGAAACCCCGACTCTACTAAAAGTACAAAATTAGCCGGGGGCATGGTGGCACATGCCTGTAATCCCAGCTACTTGGGAGGCTGAGGCAGGAGAATCACTTGAACCCAGGAGGCGGAGGTTGCGTTGAGCCAAGATCACGCCATTGCACACTAGCCTGGGCGACAAGGGCTAGACTCCGTCTCAAAAAAAAAAAAAAATTAGCCAGGTGTGGTGGCACGTGCCTGTAGTCCCAGCTACTAGGGAGGCTGGGGCAGAAGAATCCCTTAAACTCGGGAGGCGGAGGTTGCAGTGAGCCGAGCCCACGCCATTGCACTCCAGCCTGGGTGACAGAATGAGACTCTGTCTCAAAAAAAAAAAAAAAAAAAAAAAAGGGACAGAAAACAAACACACAGGCCAGCCAACTAGAAGACTAAATATAATGGCAGACATATATCCAAAATATCTGTAATTACAACAGATATGAATGGTCTCCATGCTCTAGTTAAAGAGGTTAGCTGATGGCTCACTCCTACAATCCCAGCACTTTGTGCGGGTGAGGTGGGAAGATCACTTGAGCCCAGGAGTTCACGACCAGCCCAGCCAACATAGCGATACACTCTAATTAATTAAAAAGAAGTTAGCAAGTTGCTAACTTAACAAAGCAAAATCCAGCTATGTGGCGTTCATGAAAGATATATCTAGAACATCCCACTACAATTGGCTAAAACTAAAAAGGCAACATAAAATGTTGGCAAGGATGTAGAACTCTTAAACCACTCAGTCTTTGAGAATGAATTCCCAATTCTTAGGGCATCCACTCTGTGTATAAGCTGAACTTTTTCCAGACACCTAGAATGAAATTCATTATGTACCATCCTTGACAGATTTGAGAAAATAGTAACTCAACTTTCTGTGTTCTGTGGTTCAGCTGACAAGCCTGAGAACAACTGTGCAACATGTGGAAAACACTTTAGCATTACTTAGTAAAAGTTACACATACCCTACATACAAACCAAAAATTCCACTCTCAGTTATGTAGTCTTGAGAAAATGGACTTTGTTTGTTGTGGGCAGGGTGGCAAATGTCCACATGAGGACAAGTAAAATTGGTAATCTCAAAAAACTGGAAATGAGACAAATATCCATCAACAATGAAATAGACAACATATGGCACATCCTTACAATGTAACCTCATACTACTATAAGAAATCAACGGGCCGGGCACGATGGCTAACACCTGTAATCCCGGCACTTTGGGAGGCCGAGGTGGGCAGATCGCTGGAGGTCAGGAGTTCGAGACCAGCCTGCCCAACATAGTGAACCCACAGCTCTACTAAAAATGCAAAAAAAAAAAAAAAAATTAGCCAGGCATGGTGGTGCCTGCCTGTAATCCCAGCTACTTGGGAGGCTGAGGCAGGAGAATTGCTTGAACCCAGGAGGCAGAGGTTGCAGTGAGCCAAGATCGCACCATTGCACTCTAGCCTGGGCAACAAGAGCAAACTCCATCTCAAAAAAAAAAAAAAAAACAAACAAGAGTCCATGACCAGCCTGGCCAACATGGTGAAACCCCGTCTCTACTAAGAATACAAAAATTAGCTGAGCATGGTGGCAGGTGTCTGTAATCCCAGCTACTCGGGAGGCCGAGGCAGGAGAATTGCTTGAACCAAGGAGGCAGAGGCTGCAGTGAGCTGAGAAGCCGAGATCGTGCCACTGGCATTCCAGCCTGGGCAAAAGAGCAAGACTCCGTCTTATAAAACAAAACAAAGAAAAAAGAAATCTACATGGGGGCTGGGTGCAGTGGCTCATGCCTGTAATACCAGAACTTTGGGAGGCCGAAGCAGGCAGATCACCTGAGGTCAGGAGTTCGAGACCAGCCTGGCTAACACAAGGAAACCCCGTCTCTACCAAAAAATACAAAAATTAGCCAGGCATGGTGGCGGGCACCTGTAGTCCCAGCTATTTGGGAGGCTGAGGAAGGAGAATCGCTTGAACCCGGGAGGTGAATGTTGCAGTGAGCCAGGATCGAGCCACTGCACTCCAGCCTGAGCAACAGACTGAGACCCTATCTCAAAAAAAAGAAATCAACATGGATAAATCTCAAGCATGTAAGAGTGAAAGAATCAAGCATCAGAAGAATCATACAATTCTTACATTGAGAATAAGACTGAAAATGGGCACTATTAAACCATATGTTGCTTACGGATATACATATAAGGTAAAATTATTGTAAAAAAGTAACAGTAGGCTGGGGTGGTGGCTCATGCCTGTAATCCCAGCACTTTGGGAGCTCAGGTGGGCGGATCATGAGGTCAGGAGTTTGAGACCAGCCTGGCCAACACAGTGAAACCCCATCTCTACCAAAAATACAAAAAATTAGCCAGGCGTGGTGGCGGGCACCTATAATCCGAGCTACTCGGGAGATGGAGGCTGGAGATTCGCTTGAACTTGGGAGGTGGAGGTTGCAGTGAGCTGAGATCGGGCCACTACACTTCAGCCCAGGCGATAGTGCAAGACTCCGTCTCAAAAAAAAAAAAAAAAAAAGGAACAGTAGAACCTGCAGAGTGACTCATACCTATAATCCCAGGACTCTGGGAGGCCAAGCAGGAGGATCACTTGAGTCCAGGAGTTCAAGACCACCCTGGGCAACATAGCTAGACCTTGTCTCTATTTTAAAACAACAACACAAAGGAATAGTAAACCTATAATGTAGGGTAATGGTTACCTCAAGGAAAGCGAAAAGAAATGCCTTGGGAGCTGGCATACACAGGAGACTTCCAGGTAGCAGTAATGTCCTATTTCTTGGTTGTTCATTTTACTTTTTTTTTTTAATTTTACATATGGGGCCAGGCATTAAGCTCACACCTGTAATCTCAGCACTTTAGTAGGCCAAGGCAGGAGGATCACTTTAGCCTAAGAGACCAGCCTGGGCAACATAGCAAGACTCCTCTCTACAAAAAGAAAAATTAGCTGAGCATGGTGATGCATCCCTGTGGTCCAAGCTACTCAGGAGGCTGAGGTGGGAGGATGCCTTAATCCTGGGAGATAGAGGCTGCAGTGAGCCATGATCATGCCAAGACACTCCATCCTGGGCGACAAAGCAAGACCCTGTCTCCAAAAAAAACAACTCTACATATGTGTTTACCCCCAACCACCTTCTACGTTATACAATGACAACTCTACATGTTTTTATGCCTCATATATCATCTACGGTATGTATGCTGTTTTTTGGGTTTTTCTTCTGAGACAGGGTCTGTCACCCAGGCTGAAGTGCAGTGGCACAATCACAGCCCACTGCAGTCTCAACCACCCAGGCTTAAGCAATCCTCCAACCTCAGCCTCCTGAGTAGCTGGGACTACAAGCACACCATGCCCAGCTAATTTTTGTATTTTTAGTAAAGACAGGGTTTTGCCACGTTGTCTAAGCTGCTCTCCAACTCCTGGGCTCAAGTGATTCACCTGCCTCGGCCTCCCAAAGTGCTGGGATTACAGGCATGAGCCACCACACCCAAACTATGCTGTATTTTTCAATAAAAATCAGCAAGTATGCAAAGTATGATCCTATTATTTATGGAGATAGGGTCTCACTCTGTCACCCAAGCTGGAGTGCAATGGCACAATCATAGCTCACTGTGGCCTCAAGCAATCCTCCCACCTCAGCCTCACAAGTAGATGGGACTCTGGGTACATGCAATCATGCCCAGTTAATTTTTACATTTTTTTTATAGAGACAGGGTCTCACTATATTGCCCACGCTGGTCTCGAACTCCTGCTCAAGAAATCCTTCCACCTCAGCCTCCCAAAGCGTTGGAATTACACGCAGGAGCCATGGAGCCAGGCTCCAACTTTTTTTTTTTTTAAACATATACTCCATGTTTCAGGGGGAAAAAAAAGGCCAGGCACAGTGGTCCACAACTGTAATCTCAGCACTTTGGGAGGCCGAAGCAGGTGGATCACCTGAGGTCAGGAGTTCAAAACCAGCATGGCCAAAATGACAAAATCCTGTCTCTACAAAAAATACGAAAATTATCAGAGCACGGTGGCAGGCTAATCGCTTGAACCCAGTAGGCGGAGATTGCAGTGAACAGAGATCACACCACTGCACTCTGGCCTGGGTGACAGAATGAAACTCCACCTCAAAAAAAAAAAAAAAAAAAAAAATTAGCCGGGCGCGGTGACTCACGCCTGTAATCCCAGCACTTTGGGAGGCCGAGGCGGGCAGATCACACACGAGGTCAGGAGATCAAGACCATCCTGGCTAACACGGTGAAACCTTGTCTCTACTAAAAATACAAAAAATTAGCCAGGCTTGACAGCACACGCCTGTAGTCCCAGCTACTCGGGAGGCTGAGGCAGGAGAATGGCGTGAACCTGGGAGGCGGAGTTTGCAGTGAGCCGAGATAGCGCCACTGCACTCCAGCCTGGGCAAGAGAGCAAGACTCTGTCTCGAAAAAAAAAAAAAATTAGCTGGGCGTGGTGATGCATGCCTGTAGTCCCAGCTGCTTGGGAAGTTGAGGCACAAGAATCACTTAAGCCAGGGAGGCAGAGGTTACAGTGAGCCAAGGCACCACAGCACTCCAGCCTGGGCGACAGAGAAAGACTGTCTCAAGAAAATAAAAATAAAAGAAGAAGCCAGGTGTGGTGGCTCACGCAAGTAATCCCAGCACTTTGGGAGGCCAAGGCAGGTGGATCACCTGAGGTCAGGAGTTCCAAGACCAATATGGCCAACATGGTGAAATCCCATCTCTACTAAAATTACAAAAATTAGCCAAGTGTGTTGGCAGGCGCCTGTAACCCCAGCTACTCAGGAGGCTGAGGCAGGAGCATCACTTGAACCCGGTGGGCAGAGGTTGCAGTGGGCGAAGATCGTACCACTGCACTCCAACCTGGGTGACAGAGCGAGACTCCATCTGTAAATAAATAAATAAATAAATGAAGAGTATTACCTAGTCTTAAATAAAACACCTACTCTACTCCTTAATGTGAGCCCTATTTCATACTTCAAATCCAAATAGTTAACTGGATTCCAATTCAATTATGCTATGTCCAGCATGAAAATTAGTTATCAAAAAATGGAAACTTATCAAACATTGTTTACAAACGGGTAAAAAAAGGCTGGGCGCCGTGGCTCACCCCTGTAATCCCAGCACTTTGGGAGGCCGAGGCGGGCGGATCACGAGGTTAGGAGATCAAGACCATCTGGCTAACACTGTGAAACCCCGTCTCTAATAAAAATACAAAAAATTAGCCGGGCGTGGCGGCAGGCGCCAGTAGTCCCAGGTACTCGGGAGGCTGAGGCAGGAAAATGGCATGAACCCAGAAGGCGGAGCTTGAAGTGAGCCGAGATTGCACCACTGCACTCCAATTTGGGCAACAGTGAGACTGTCTTCAAAAAAAAAAAAGGGTAGAAAAAAATAAAAATTAAAAAAAAAATTTTTTTTTGAGACGGAGTCTTGCTCCATCCAGGCTGGATGAAGTCCAATGGCACATGGCTCACAGCAACCTCCACCTCCCAGGTTCAAGCAATTCTACCGCCTCAGCCTCTGGAGCAGCTGGGACTACAGGCACGCGCCACCACACCAGGCTCATTTTTGTATTTTTAGTAGAGACGGGGTTTCACCATGTTGGTTAGGTTAGTCTCGAACTCCCGACCTCGTGACCCGCCCGCCTCCGCCTCCCAAAGTGCTGGGATTACAGACATGAGCCACAGTGCCCAGTCACAAAAGAAAATTTTTAAGGAGCATCTTTGAGAAACTTAAAAAATGTCAAGTAAACTCAGCAGGAAATATCAGCATAAGTGGTTTACATTAAAATTGTAAAAACTAATCTGATAAATTTGATTCTTTGAGTTAGTAAAAAAAGGATCCTATTCCTAAATACTTGATAGTTGGGGCAAAATTACTTCAAAATCTACCACAAAGATTACATGGTGATATTCCCTACATGTCCTCCCTCTCTTTGCCTTCCTTCAGGTTGTATCTCCACTCTTTGGAAAAAACGGCTGCTTCTAAAATCTATCAGAGATCTACTAACTTACCAGTCAACACCATGGGTACCATAACACTTAGCTTTTAAGAACGCTCCATTTACTCAAAATAACAACTAAGAGCTCCATTTACTCAAAATAACAACTAAGAATGAACGGGTATTTGCTGACATACAGGTTTCTCACAAGGAAAAATAAAGACAGATGTGCTTAAGGGCAGAGAACTTTACAATCTGTAAATGCCTGCAGACTGCTTCTTTAGAGCAGGCATTAACCCTTGCTAATATACTTAACCACCCCCACCCCCCAACCCCACAAAGTGTCTTATTAACAAAGGAAATCTTAACAATAAATCATCATTTAAAAAAAAAAAAAAGAGGACTGGGAAATCAACAATTCAAAGCTAACATTTTAGAAGTAAAGGCTTCATGCCGGGCGGGGTGGCTCACGCCTGCAATCCCAGCACTTTGGGAGGCAGGCGGATCACGGGGTCAGGAGATCAAGACCATCCCGGCTAACACAGTGAAACCCCATCTCTACTGAAAAATACAAAAAATTAGCCGGGCGTGGTGGTGGGTGCCTGTAGTGCCAGCTACTCGGGAGGCTGAGCCAGGAGAATGGCGTGAACCCGGGAGGCGGAGCTTGCAGTGAGCCGAGATCAGGCCACTGCACTCCAGCCTGGGCGACAGAACAAGACTCCATCTCAAAAAAAAAAAAAAAAAAAAAAAAAAAAAGAAGGCTTCACTTCAGACCACTCCAAACCTTCAAGAAAGGTTTGTACTTTCTACACATATTTTATACTTAAGAGGGTAGATACCGGGACCAGTTCCCATCACAATACAAGTACATATTGAAATAAACCTATTAGTCTACATGTTCTCACACCATCACACCATTTCTCCCCATACAATAAAAGTCACTCAGGCTAATACTAAGAGAGACACTCCTGGTGATCACTACATAGACTGCACTAGTAACCAGGAAAGGGAAGCAGAGGTGTTATTGTTGTTCCAATATAGTTCTAAAGGCAACTCCATGTGACTACTGCTGATCCAGCCCACATTTAAAGGGAGGACAGAGGAAACCAGAGCAGCAGGAAACAGGCAAGAGAGGCAATTACCACAACCCTTTCCCATGGCCTCATTCTCTCCCATGCCACCACTTTCGGGCATATTTCAATCACAACAAAAACCTTCCTTCTCTGAAAGGTTTCATAATTATTGAGGGTGAGAGGCAACAGGGAAGCAAATGGGGGAAATCAGCGCTGTGGGAAAATCTCTCGTCACACGTATCAACTAGCCATAAGTAGGAAAATCAGGAGTATGCTGGCAGCAAGCAAAAGGGCAGTTTGGGAAACTAATCACTTCTGCCTAATGATAAGAGAAGCCTTCAAAGCAATGGAAGGACAACCCTAGCGAAGGGGCTCCACAGGTGAGTGTATTGAAGGAAACTATCATCTCCAGGGAGTGGAATACATTCCCTTTCCTGAGGTAAAAGGGGAACACACCAATGTAGGATACGGGAGAGCTTAGGTATCATGTTCAACTTCCTTCCACCTTTCACAAACTGGCACTAAAACGGATACACAATTCACAGTGAAAAGTGAGGAATGCAATAACTAGTCGCATACCCCTTGTTGAAAAAAGTGCTGTCACAACGGAAGAGGAATATAAGAACTGGGTTCACCCAAGAAATTATATGCCCTTCAAATAAAAGATAATCTTTGGATACCTTATGGAGACCTGAAAAAACCCTCAACTAGCTGAGCACCGTGGTGCACACTGTAATCCCAGATACTCAGGAGGCTGAGGTGAAAGAATCGCTTAAACCCAGGAGCTGGAGGCCAGCCTGGGCAACATATGGAGACCATATCTCTAAAATTAATAGTAATTTTTTAAAATCTCTCAACTGTTAGGATACACTGGTGCTGTAGAAAGACAATAAGCCTAAATACTGGCAAACCATATACCTTCCTTGAATGTGAGGTAAAAACAATATCCAATAGAAGTGGTAGTAAATGACTGGATTACATCAAACAGGAAATAACAGTAATAATGATGGGATCAACCCCTAAAGCGAGCAAGCATTAGAGACCAGAGTGGTGACAGTTGAGATGCGTGGGCAACTAATTAGACTAAAAACTCAGGGGAAAATGTGGAAAAGCCGAGTGGGAAAGTGATTCAGAGGCAAACAACTGAGTTGTAATGCACCAATGAAAGAATAACATTTTGAGTATGTATTATTAACAGAGAGAGCTTTGCCGTTTACAAAGCGCTCAAAAACCTACATTAAATAATGAACTGTGATATAACCAGACTACAGGAACGGCGGGTGTGGAGGAAAACTGAGTCCCAATTGAGACCAATGCCCTACAGAATTGAAAAGAAGTAGAACTGAACTGTGACTCCGGGTAAGCCAGGAAAGGTTAGAGAGCGCATAAGTTGGGGCTATAACAGGGCCAGTCCCAAGACTAGCTACGGGCGTGAAAGCGGAAAGGTGATGAGATGGGACCGACAGCGTGGCGGGGAAGCTCCAGTCTACTGGCAGGCACCGAGGTGGGAGAGAAAACCACACCCTCCAGGGCAGAAACCCGAAAGGGGGGAGGGGAGGCACCCCTGGGGCTGGGTGGGGCCCAGCCGACCTGGACGGGGGAAAGTAGGAAGAAGCACAGGGCAACGTGAGGGGAAGAGGAAGGAGGGAGCCCGGGCCTGGACGTAGAGGGACCGTGGACCTGGCGAGTGAAGCTCGGCCCGGTCCTCACGGGTGGGCGCCGGGGCAGTCTGCAGGCGGTGGGGTTTCAGACGAGCTGAACCCAGAATTAGAAAGCACACGCTGCAGCGCTCAGGGCCCTGGAAGAGGGAAGGAGAGGGAGAGGATGGCAATTACCGCTGCTGCTCTCGGAGGACCCAAGACCCGCTGCCGCCGCCGCCGCTCGTTACCTGCCAATGTGCCTCTTACAAAGCGGCGGCGGCGGCACAGGCTGCCCAACCCGTCACGTGACCTCGCGTCACGGGCGAAGGAGGAGCCACAACACGTCGCTCGTGCGCGGCTTCAGAGTCAGCCTAGGCGGCGCGCGGCCTCTTCCAGCCACCACCTCCACCCCAACCCCGCGAAGCCAACCGCGTGGAGGTGGGGACCACAGAAAGGAACAAATAAGGGAGACTTGATAATATGTATTGTACTCGGAGTCATCAGGAGAGTATTACCCACCGCATACAAGGTGCCCACAACTGCAGCTCGTCGTCGCGCCGTGATGACCTCACAAAGCACCACAGGTTACTCCCCTGTGGCCGCCCTGTGCTCATCACGTGATGTGGTCCAACCACTCAGGGCAAGCCTGGCCTCCCAAATGTTGCACGAGGGGACCACGACTCCCAACATGCTGCACAGCCAAGGCGACCCCTACCGCAGCCTTTCTCCAGCGGGCTTCTAGACGAACCCCCTAGAGACCTTAGAGCCGAGGGAAGGCCGGGACGGAAAGCGGACTAAGCTGGCTTGAAGGACTAATACCATTGGATGCCGCCCGCCATGTGGCGGAGCGTGGTGCCTGCTGGGAGGTGTAGTCCTGGCGGGGGGTGGGGTTCCGCTCCCACGTTCCTGGGCTCGCTCTGCGCCCTGCCCCCTGCGCGGGAAAACGCCAACGGCTAGCAGCGAGAGCCTCGGCAAGGCGGAAGGTGCGCCCACTTTTAGTCTTTTTCAGTGCGGTTTTACTTTTGCCCTCCCAAGCCCCTTCTGGGTGAAAAGACTAGAATCTACTGAACGCCTACTCCAAGTCAGCCGTTTATTTCTGTTATATCATATAATCAACTCCTTGAGTCCAGGATTTTCCCTATTTAAGGATTTAAAAAAAGAACCTTAGAGTTGTTTGTTGACCGAAGAGACCCAGGTTTTCTGTCTTTAGAAAATTAATGACCTCCTCTCAATAGGATCTGACCTGTTGTCAACTCCAAGAATTACGAATAAATAAGATGATGGTTTATAATTGTAGCATGGTGTTTTAAAGTATTTTCCATTTACTGGCCTGTTTGGATGTGAGGGCGTTCTGGCTATCTTGTCACCCCATAGATCGCCAGGGCTGATTCGGCTGATCTGGCTGTCTAGGCGGGTGGCCCCTTCCTCCCGCACCTCTCCATGTGCGTCCCTCCCGAAGCTGCATATTCGGTCGAAAAGGAGGAGCATCCCCCATAGAAGAGGACAAGTCAAGGATATAGGAGTAGCTGCACGCCCGTGTTAACAAGCTCTCAAGGTCCTCTAAACAAGCTCTCAAGGTCTACTTACTGGCCTGTTTTATCCCAAGCTAGTTACATACAAGGACTTTGCAGTCCCGGCATGCCTTATCTCAATTGGAGCTTTCCTCTGTAATAACACTTCACCGGCTTGTGAAAATTAAATGAGATTATGTAAAATGCCTGCTTGACACATAATAAACCCTCAGTAAGTATCAGTAATCATTTTCACACTCTACCCATCGGGCCCAAAAGGTCTAAGTAAGGTAGAAAGGGGAAATTAGCTTATACTGAACTTTGTACAGGGCACTATGCTAATTACTAATTTGCTAGTTATTAAGTAAAACAATTGACATCTTAAACAGCCCTATCTAGTTCAAATAAAGCCTTTGTTATTCATCTGAATTAAAGAATGCTGCCGGGCGTGGTGGCTCACACCTGTAATCTCAGCACTTTGGGAGCCGGAGGAGGGCGGATCACAAGATACGGAGTTTGAGACCAGCCTGACCAACACGGTGAAACCCCGTCTCTGTTAAAAATACAAAAAAATGTCCGGGCGCGGTGGCTCACGCCTGTAATCCCAACACTTTGGGAGGCCAAGGCGGGCCGATCACGAGGTCAGGAGATCGAGACCATCCTGGCTAACACGGTGAAACCCAGTCTCTACTAAAAATACAAAAAAATTAGCCGGGCGTGGTGGCGGGCGCCTGTAGTCCCAGCTACTCGGGAGGCTGAGGCAGGAGAATGGCGTGCGGAGTTTGCAGTGGGTCGAGATCGCGCCACTGCACTCCAGCCTGAGCGACAGAGCAAGACTCCGTCTCAAAAAAAAAAAAAAAAAATAGCCTGGCGTGGTGGCACACGCCTGTAATCCCAGCTACTCAGGAGGCTGAGGTAGGAGAATCACTTGAACACAGGAGGTGGAGGTTGCAGTGAGCCAAGATAGCACCACTGCACTCCAGGCTGTTCGACAGAGCAAGACTCTGTCTCAAACAAAAAAAAAAACAAAGAATGCTTAAACTGTGCCTTTAACAAACAGAACTGGGCCGGGCGTGATGGCTCACGCATGTAATCCCAGCACTTTGGGAGGCCAAGGTGGGTGGATCACCTGAGGTCAGGAGTTTGTGACCAGCCTGGCCAACATGGTGAAACCCTGTCTTTACTAAAAAAATACAAAAAATTAGCCGGGCGTGGTGGCGGGCGCCTGTAATCCCAGCTACTTGGGAAGCTGAGGCAGGAGAATCACTTGAACCCAGGAGGCAGAGGTTGTCGTGATCCAAAATTGTGCCACTGCACTCCAGCCTGGGAGGCAGAGTGAGACTCCATCTCAAAAAAAAAAAAACAAAAAAAAAACAGAACTTATCATCATCACCATTCATGTGTAGGTGTATCTTATCTCACCTCTTTTGACAATGAGCTAGGATTGTGTCTTGTCTGTTCGTCTTCCTCCTGTTTGCCCTGCTGCTTTATAGAAATGTGTGGGAGCATCAGAGATAAAAACCACCCTTGAGAGTCAAAGACTTAATGGACAGATCAGGCCAGGCATGGTGGCTCATGCCTGTAATCCCAACACTTTGGGAGGCCAAGGCGGGCGGATCACCTGAGGTCCAGAGTTCAAGACCAGCCTGGCCAACATGGTGAAACCCCGTCTCTACTAAAAATACAAAAATTAGCCAGGCATGGTGGCGGGTGCCTGTCATCCCAGCTACCCGGGAGGCTGAGGCAGGAGAATCACTTGAACCTGGAAGGCGGAGGTTGCAGTAAGCTGAGATCATGCCATTGCCCTCCAGCCTGGGTGACAAGCGCAAAAGTCCGCCTCAAAAAGAAAAAAAATGACAGATCAGGAGAAAAGGATTCTGAAAGGAATATACAAACTTGATAACAGTGGCTGGCTCTGAGGGGTGGGAAAGAGGTTTGTGATTGGGGTTGCTGGCCCAAAGGGACTGCAGTCTAACGTTTTCGCTTTTTACTTGGAGAAGGCACTGGTATATAACTTACGTAATTATAAGATTAACTTGGCCCAGCGCGGTGGCCAAGCACTTTGGGAGGCCAAGGTAGGCGGATCACAAGGTCAAGAGATTGAGACCATCCTGGCCAACATGGTGAAACCCCGTCTCTACTAAAAATACAAAAACTAGCTAGGTGTGGTGGTGCACCTGTGGTGCGCACCTGTAGTCCCAGCTACTCCAGAGGCTGAGGCAGGGGAATCACCTGAACCCGGGAGTCGGAGGTTGCAGTGAGCCAAGATCGAGCCAGTGCACTCCAGCCTGGCAACAGAGCAAGATTCCTCTCAAAAAAAAAAAAAGAAGATTAACTTTATGAGGTCGGGCGCAGTGGCTCACATCCGTAATCCCAGCACTTTGTGAGGCCGAGGCAGGTGGATCACTTGAAGTCGGGAGTTCAAGACCAGCCTGACCAACATGGAGAAGGCCTGTCTCTACTAAAAACCCAAAATTAGCCTGGCATGGTAGTGTATGCCTGTAATCCTAGCTACTCGGGAGGCTGAGGCAGGAGAATTGCTTGAACCTGGGAGGCGGAGGTTGCAGTGAGCTGAGATCGTACCATTGCACTCCAGCCTGAGCAACAAGAGCAAAATTCTGTCTCAAAAAAAAGGAAAAAAAAAGATTAGCTTTATGAAAAGGAAGACCAGAGACCACGTGTTAGCTCTGTGACCCTGTACAAGCTGTGTCACTTCTCCAGGCCTCAATTTCTTGTTAAATTCATTTTCAAAAACATCTGCCTTTTCTGTGTCAGGGACACTGTGCTGGTTACTTTTATTACATTATCATTTATTAAGCAAGAAGTCCTACCAAGAACCTAGGATCAGAGAAAATAAGAACATCAAAGCCCTAAAACCTCACTGATTACTGTTATTGGGACCTGGATGCAACAGAACTAGCCTTTCCCTCCCCGTCCCTCACACAAAGGATATCATTCACCTTATCCACCCAGCTTGACTCTGAGACATTGACTCTGAAACTAAAACTAATTTCACATCCTGTGACTGCAAAGGACATCCCCATCTTTTTTTTTTTTTTTTTTTTTGAGACAGAGTCTCACTCTGTCGCCCATGCTGGAGTGCAGTGGCGCGATCTCGGCTCGCGGCAAGCTCCGCCTCCCGGATTCACGCCTTTCTCCTGCCTCCGCCTCCCAAGTAGCTGGGACTACAGGCTCCCGCCACCATGCTCGGCTAATTGTTTTAATATTTTTTAGTAGGGACGGGGTTTCACCGTGTTAGCCAGGATGGTCTCGATATCCTGACCTCGTGATCCGACTGCCTTGGCCTCCCAAAGTGCTGCGATTACAGGCATGAGCCACTGCACCTGGCCATCCCCATCTTTTTTACCAGTTTTTGTTTGCTTCAGTCTTCTTGCTGGACTAAAGTGAGCACATAATGTCATGGAAGATACACTGGAGAATTTATCAGAAACCTGGGTTCTGAAGTCTGTACAAATGGGTGGCAATATGATAGATAGGTGTGTGAAATCATTCTTTTTTTTCTTAGACAGGGTCTTGCTATGTTGCCCAGGCCAGAGTGCAGTACCTATTCACAGGTGTAATTATAGTGTACTATAGCCTTTAGCTCCTGAACTCAGGCAGTCTTCCCACCTCAGCCTCCAGACTAGCTGAGACTACAGGCAGTGTGCCACTGCACCGGGATCTGGAATCAGTAATTCTTAGATGAGGCCCGTCTTCAGAAACAACCAGTAATAGTAATAGGTGGCTGAGATTTAGGAGGATACAATCAAGGCATATAAACTCCAAAGCAGAACAGGTGTGGTGCCTCACGCCTGTAATCCTATCACTCTAGGAGGCCGAGATGGGAGGCTCACTTGAGGCCAGGAGTTCAAGACCAGCCTGGGCAATATAGCAAGACTCCATCTCTATTTATATATACATATATTTATTTTCTTAATAAAAAACTCCAAAGCAGAATTTTCACAAACTAGATAAAGCTAATCACAGTTGAAATCTTTTTTTTTTTCTTTTTTTGATACCGGGTCTCACTCTGTCGCCCAGGCTGGAGTGCAGCGGGCGATCTCAACTCACTGCAACCTTCACCTCCTGGGTTCAACCGATTCCCATGCCTCAGCCTCCCAAGTAGCTGGAACTACAGGCAGGCACCACCATACCCAGCTAATTTTTTTTTTTTTGAGACTGAGTCTCGCTCTGTAGCCCAGGCTGGAGTGCAGTGGCGCAATCTCGGCTCACTGCAAGCTCCACCTCCTGGATTCATGCCATTCTCCTGCCTCAGCCTCCCAAGTAGCTGGGACTACAGGGCCCCGCCACGATGCCCGGCTAATTTTTTGTATTTTTAGTAGAGACAGGGTTTCACTGTGTTAGCCAGGATGGTCTCGATCTGCTGACCTCATGATCCACCTGCCTCGACCTCCCAAAGTGCTGGGATTGCAGGCATGAGCCACCGCGCCCGGCTATACCCAGCTAATTTTTGTATTTTTAGTAGAGACGGGTTTTGCTGTGTTGGCCAGGCTGGTCTCAAACTCCCGGCCTCAGGTGATCTGCCCACCTTGGCCTCCCAAAGTGTTGGAATTACAGGCGTGACCCACTGCACCTGGTTCACAGTTGAAATCTAATGTACTCTCTTAATTGTAAAATAAATGTCATAATCAAATGCATTATACCCTGCCTAAAGAATGTGATAATACGAGGTCAGGAGATGAGACCATCCTGGCTAACACGGTGAAATCCCGTCTCTACTAAAAATACAAAAAAATTAGCCGGGCGTGGTGGCGGGCGCCTGTAGTCCCAGCTACTCGGGAGGCTGAGGCAGGAGAATGGTGTGAACCTGGGAGGCGGAGCTTCCAGTGAGCCAAGATCATGCCACTGTACTCCAGCCTGGGCAAAAGAGCAAGACTTCGTCTCCAAAAAAAAAAAAGAATGTGATAACAGAGAGGAAAATAGGCTTCCTAGAGTCTTAAAAAAAAAAAATGAACCTTAATAAGCAAAAGCGTATGCCTTGCAAGAAACAGGGTGGCCTAACCAGCACTTAGAACATTTTGACCCCTTAGCAGATTTCTGCCTTTAGCAGATGAAGATGGGTGTTCCATGCCTATTAACCATAAGGTTCCCTAACCTGTGTTCCATGTTTTCAAGCAACCTACTGATTAGAATTTGGCTGCTATTTAATACTTTCCTCCAGAGAAGTGAATGTGCTGTTGACCAGAGAACCATATGTTATTTGGCTTGACTGAAAATTAGTGTACTGGCCAGGCGCAGTGGCTCATGCCTGTAATGCCAGCACTTTGGGAGGCTGAGCTGGGTGGAGCACCTGAGGTCAGGAGTTTGAGACCAGCCTGATTAATGTAGTGAAACCCCATCTCTACTAAAAATACCAAAAAATTAGCATGGCATGGTGGCACATGCCTGTAATCCCAGCTACTAGGGAGGTTGAGGCAGGAGAATTGCTTGAATCCAAGAGGCAGAGGTTGCAGTGAGATCGCGCCATTGCACTCCAGCCTGGGCGACAGAGCGAGACTCCTTTAAAAAAAAAAAAAAAGCTAAAGAGAAAGGAAAGGAAAGGAAAAGAAAATGAAAATTAGTGTACTGGAAGCCAGGCACAATAGCTCATGCCTGTAATCCCAGAATTTTGGGAGTCCAAAGTGGGAGGATCACTTGAGCTCAGGAGTTCAAGACCAGCCTGGGCAACATAGTGAGACCCCACCTCTTTTTTTTTTTTGAGCCGGAGTTTCACTCTTGTTGCCCAGGCTGGAGTGCAGTGGCACGATCTTGGCTCACTGCAACGTCCACAAATCCCAAAGTGCTGGGATTACAGGCATGAGCCACTGCGCCAAGCAACCCCACCTCTATTTTTAAGAAAACGAAAAACAACTGGCCAGGCGGGTTCAAGTGATGCTCCTGCCTCAGCCTCCTGAGTAGCTGGGATTATAGGTGCATGCCACCAGGCCCGGCTAATTTTTGTATTTTTAGTAGAGATGGGGTTTCACCATGTTGGCCAGGCTGGTCTTGAACTTCTGACCTCAGATGATCCACCCACCTTGGCCTCCCAAAGTGCTGGGATTACAGGGGTGAGCCATTGCGCCCGGCCTGAGATGCTGAACTTTAAATGCAGTGACCAAAAGAAGTAATCATAATGTCACTGTGTGAGGCCTTTTGGGCATGGTGACTTACACCTGTAATCCCAGCACTTTTGGAGGCCTAGGAAGGAGGATTTCGAATTGCTCTAGTATTGACTTTGGAAACAAAAGACATCGTTCTATTTATAGCATTCTGGTTTTGGTAGTAGTATTTCCATTTACAAAATATAGTAATTCTCAATCGCCGATAATGTCAAATCCTAGAAAACACAGCAGTCCTACATGTGATTTTAACATCATTCTCAAAGAGTTGTTGGCCGGAGACTCATTTCACGAATCCAATTTTTCCAAAATAGACAATTCTGATGATTCAGATGATCCTGATCTTAGCTCTGTTTAGAAATAACTCCAAGAACAGTTTTTTAAATTTTATGTTCACATTGAAAACCAGTCAGATTTGCTTCGGCCTCAATGAGCATGTTTATGTGAAATTAAATGAGCACTGGCAGCGAGCTGCACTTTTTTTTTTCTAAACCAGGAAAGGGTTAAAAACCTTTGCTTAGGCCAGACACAGTGGTTCATGCCTGTAACCCCAGCACTTTGGGAGGCCAAGAGGGGATGGTCCCTTGAGCCCAGGAGTTCAAGACCAGAATGGCCAACATGGCAAAACCCCATCTCTACTAAAAAATACAAAAATTAGCCAGGAGTGATGGTACACACCTGTAGTCCCAGCTACTCAGGTGGCTGAGGCACAAGAATCACTGGAACCCGAGAGGTAGAGGTTGCAGTGAGCCGAGCTCATACCACTGCACTCCAGCCTGGGCAACAGAGCAAGACTCTGTCAAAAAAAAAAAAAAAAGAAAGAAAGCAAGCCTGGCTGGGCGCAGTGGCTCATGCCTGTAATCTCAGCACTTTGGGAGGCCAAGGAGGGCGGATCACAAGGTCAGGATTTTGAGACCAGGCTGGCCAACATGGTGAAACCCCGTGTCTACTAAAAAAAAATTTAAAAATTAGCCGGGCATGGTGGTGTGCGCCTGTAATCCCAGCTACTTGGGAGGCTGAGGTGGGAGAATTGCTTGAACACGGGAGGCAGAGGTTGCAGTGAGCAGAGATCACACGGCTGCACTCCAGCCCGGGCGACAGAGCAAGACTCTGTCTCAAATATATATATATATATATTACAAAAATTAGCTGGGTGTGGTGGTACATGCCTGTAGTCCCAGCTACTTGGGAGGCTGAAGCACAATAATTTGAACCCAGGAGGTGGAGGTTTCAATGAGCCAGATTGCACCACTACACTCCAGCCTGGGCAACATAGCAAGACTCCATCTCAAAGAAACAAAACCAAAAAAAAAAAAAATCCCTTTGCTATGGCCAGGCACAGTGGCTGATGCCTGTAATCCCAGGATTGGGGGATGCCATGGCCAGCAGATTGCTTGAAGCCAAGAGTTCGAGAACAGCCTGGGCTACATGGCAAAATCTCATCTCTATAAAAAAAATGCAAATATTAGCCAGCGCTGGTGGTGCACACCTGTAGTACCAACTACTAAGGAGGCTGAGGTGGGAGAATCAATTGAGCCTTGGAGGTCAAGGATGCAGTGAGCCATGATCACATCACTGCACTCCAGCCTGGGCAACACAGCAAGACACTGTTTCAATAAAAACAAAGTCTTTGCTTATAAGCCATTCAGGAGGTCACTTTTTTTTTGTTTTTTGTTTTTTTGTTTTGTTTTGTTTTGTTTTTGAGATGGAGTCTCGCTCTGTTGCCCAGGTTGGAGTGCAGTGGCGCAATCTCAGCTCGCTGCAAGCTCTGCCTCCCAGGTTCTCACCATTCTCCTGCCTCAGCCTCCCAAGTAGCTGGGACTACAGGCACTTGCCACCATGCCCGGCTAATTTTGTTTTCGTATTTTTAGTAGAGACGGGGTTTCACCATGTTAGCTAGGATGGTCTCGATCTCCTGACCTCGTGATCCACCCGCCTCGGCCTCCCAAAGTGCTGGGATTACAGGCGTGAGCCACTGCACCCGGCCAGGAGGTCACGTTTTAAGCATGAGCTGCCTGATTCTTCTTGCTTGGTGCCCTGAAAATAAATGCCCTCCTTTCTCCCACTACAAAACCTCAATATACTTGTTTGGTTTACTGCACCAGGCAAATGGACCCTAGTTCAATTCAGTAACAAGTTCAGCCTTGGAAACATAGCAAGACCTCATCTCTAAATAAAAATAAAAATAGACCAAGCATAGAGGCTCACATCTGTAATCCCAGCACGTTGGGTTGCCAAGGTAGGAGGATCACTTGAGCCCAGTATTTCAAGACCAGCTTGGGCAACACAGGGAGATCTCATCTCTACAAAAAGTCAAAAAATTGGCCAGGGGCAGTGGCTTACGCCTGTAATCCCAGCACTTTGGGAGGCTGAGGCGAGTGGATCACCTGAGGTCAGGAGTTCGAGACCAGTCTGACCAACATGGAGAAACCCCATCTCTACTAAAAATACAAAATTAGCCAGGCGTGGTGGCACATGCCTGTAATCCCAGCTACTTGGGAGGCTGAGGCAGGAGAATCACTTGAACCTGGCAGATGGAGGTTGCGGTGAGCCGAAATTGTGCCATTGCACTCCAGCCTGGGCAATAAGAGTGAAACTCTGGCCGGGTGCGGTGGCTCACGCCTGTAATCCCAGCACTTTGGGAAGCAGAGGCAGGCAGATCACAAGGTCAGGAGTTTGAGACCAGCCTGGCCAACATGGCAAAACCCCGTGTCTACTAAAAATACATAAATTAGTCGGGCATGATGGCACGCGCCTGTAGTCCCAGCTACTCTGGAGGCTTGAACCTGGGAGGCAGAGGTTGCAGTGAGCCAAGATCATGCCATTGCACTCCAGCCTGGGCGACAGAGCGAGACTCCATCTCGGAAAAAAAAAAAAAAAAAAAAAAAAAAGAGACTTCCCCTGACAGGAATAGCTAAAAGTAAGTAAGGAGGCAATTTGTTAGCAATCTAGGGAAAAAGATTTAGAACCACACTGCACTCCATATACCTGTTAATTTAAATATCAGAGAGAGGCTCTCTAAAGAAAATGGTATTTATTCAGGAATAAGGCATTGCAATGGGAATTCACATACCATAGTAAACTATGTGTGTATTCGGGAAAGTAAAGGAGGACAAAGATTTTCAAAGGAAAGATAAGAATTGCACAATTGTTTTGAGATAATTATCCTTGGCTATGAATCCAAGGATTAATAAAAAGGATCATGCTAGTTTGAGGTTGGGCAGGCAGTTGTTGGGCAAATGTCCTTTGCAGAAGTATTTTTTGTATACGATTGTGGGCCGTTGTCCAAGGTTGCAGTTTGGCAGTCTTCTGTGACAGTTTCTGTTATCAGGCATTTATGTATCAGAATCTTCTCTTCATGGTCTTCCTCAGCACTATTTGTCAGAGTTTTTTTCTTCTTCTTGTTTTCACACAAGTGACTCGATTTTGATTCTGACAACGTTCATATACCAAGTGGCTTAAGACAATAGGGAAAAGCTAACATTTGTTGTCTGTCAGGCACAGTTCATCTTATCTTTATCCCAATTATAAATATTCAAGGTAATTTGTCTGATTTTACAAAACAGGGAGTAGAGGACACATTAAATAGGTGACCCAGGATTCTAAACTTTTATTCCAAAGCCTGTGCTCTTTCTACTAAGCCAAGCTGCCACTCTATAGAAAATTGTCATTTTTTTTCTTTTTTTGAGACAAGGTGTTACTCTGTCACGCAGGCTGGAATGCAGTGGCGGGATCAGGGCTCACTGCAGCCTGGACCTCCTGGGCTCAGGTGATCCTCTCACCTCAGCCTCCCCAGTAGCCAGGACTACAGGTGAATGCCAACACGCCTGGTTAATTTTTAAATCTAATTTAATTTAATTTTTGTAGAAATGGGGTCTTGCTATGTTGCCCAGCCTAATCTTGAACTCCTGGCCCCAGTGATCCTCTTGCCTTGGTCTCCCAAAGCACTGGGGCTACAGGCTTCAGCCACCATCCCTAGCCCTCTATGTAACATTAAAAAGACCAAAATTAATGATAGATCAGGGGAGAAAAACACAAATTTATAAATTATTAATATTTTTACCATAAAAAGAACTCATACAAATTGACAAAAACACTGAAAATTCAGTAGATAAATGGACAAACATACCACAGTTCCCAAAAGTGGGAATACAGCTAACCAGCAAACAGGTGGAAAAATATTATACCTCACTAGAATTAATTAATTAATTAATTTTTTTTGAGACAGAGTCTCGCTCTGTAGCCCAGGCTGGAGTGCAGTGGTGCAATCTCTGCTCACTGCAAGCTCCGCCTCTCGGGTTCACGCCATTCTTCTGCCTCAGCCTCCCAAGTAGCTGGGACTACAGGTGCCCGCCACCACCATGCCCAGCTAATTTTTTTTGCATTTTTAGTAGAGACGGAGTTTCACCGTGTTAGCCAGGATGGTCTCGATCTCCTGACCTCGTGATCTGCCTGCCTCCGCCTCCCAAAGTGCTGGAATTACAGGCGTGAGCCACCGTGCCCAGCCTACTTTTTTTTTTTTTAATGATACTTTAAGTTCCAGGGTACATGTACACAACATGCAGGTTTGTTACATATGTATACATGTGCCATCTTGGTGTGCTGCACCCATTAACTCGTCATTTACATTAGGTATATCTCCTAATGCAATCCCTTCCCCTTCCCCCCTAGAATTTATTTTATTATATTTTATTTTTTTGAAACATCCCACTCTGTCGCCGAGACTAGAGTGCAGTGACATGATCACGACTCACTGCAGCCTCAACCTCCTGGGCTCAAATGATCCTTCTGCCTCAGCCTCCCAAGTAGCTGGGACTGCAGGCATGAGCCAACAGGCCCAGCTAATTTTTTTATTTTTTGTGGAGATTAAGTTTCACTATATTGTCCAGGCTGGTCTCAAATTCCTGGACTCAAGCGTTTCTCCCACTTCGGCCTCCCAAAGAGGTGGGATTACAGGTGTGATACAGAGCATTCAGCCACTACAAACTTTTTTTTTTTTTTCGAGACAGTCTTGCTCTGTCGCCTGGGCTGGAGTGCAGTGGCGCGATCTCGGCTCACTGCGAGCTCTGCCTCCCGGGTTCAAGCAATTCTCCTGTCTCAGCCTCCTGAGTAGCTGGGATTACAGGTGCATGCCACCACCCCTGGCTAATTTTTTGTATTTGGAGTAGAGATGAGGTTTCACCCTGTTGGTCAGGCTGGTCTCGAACTCCTGACCTTGTGAACTGCCTGCCTTGGCTTCCCAAAGTGCTGGGATTACAGGCGTGAGCCACTGTGTCTGGCCGCCACTAGAAATTTTTAAATGCAAATAATAATAACAATACACATGTTGGCCGGGCACGGTGGCTCACGCCTGTAATCCCACCACTTTGGGAGGCCGATGTGGGTGGATCACGAGGTCAGGAGATTGAGACTATCCTGGCTAACACGGTGAAACCCCGTCTCTACTAAAAATATAAAAAATTAGTCAGGTGTGGTGGTGGGCGCCTGTAGTCCCAGCTACTCGGGAGGCTGAGGCAGGAGAATGGCGTGAACCCAGGAGGCGGAGCTTGCAGTGAGCCAAGATTGAGCCACTGCACTCCAGCCTGGGCGACAGAGTGAGACTCTGTCTCAAAAAAAAAAAAATACACATGTTGCCCACCAAATTAATAAAGAGTAAAAATAATGATGCTACCCAGTGCTAATCAATGTTTACTAAAAGAAGCACTCTTGGGCCAGGCAAGGTGACTCACTCCTGTAATTCCAGTACTTTGGGAGGCCGAGGCAGGAGGACTGCTTGAGCTCAGGAGTTGGAGACCAGCCTGGGCAACATAGTAATGCCCCATCTCAAAATTTTAAAAAGGCACGCTCTTATTTGCGTAATAGGAATACAAATTGGCATAAACTTTTTGGAAAAAAAAAGTCATAATATATTAAAGCATTCAAATCCATTCTCATACTCGGCCCTAAGGAAATAATTTTACAAATGGAAAAATTGTTATGCAGAAAAAACATTTCTCTCAGGTTTATTTATAACTGCAAATATTGGAAGCATCTGACATATCTGACTGTAGAGAAATGGTTAAGTAAATTATGGTATTCATGCTAGATCCCATATTATGCAGCCTTTATAAACAACATTTTCAAAAAACATGCCAGGACATGGGAAAATGCTTGCTGTGTACATTTAGGTATAAAAAGCCAAAACCAAATCTGTGAGTAAATATAACTATGTAAGAACAGTATGCATAAGAAAGAAAGTCTATAAAAATACATCAAAAGAGTAATAACATGGGCCGGGCGCGGTGGCTCATGCCTGTAATCCCAGCACTTTGGGAGGCCGAGGAAGGTGGATCACCTGAGGTCGGGAGTTCGAGACCAGCCTGACCAACATGGAGAAACCCCGTCTCTACCAAAAATACAAAAAAATTAGCCGGGCATGGTGGCGCATGCCTGTAATCTCAGCTACTCAGGAGGCTGAGGCAGGAGAATCACTTGAACCCGGGAGGCGGAGGTTGCGGTGAGCCAAGATTGCACCATTGCACTCCAGCCTAGGCAACAAGAGCGAAACTGGGTCTCAAAAAAAAAAAAAATAGTAACATGGGCTGTGTTTAGAAAATGGCAATTTAGATAACATTTTCACTTCTCTGTAATTTCAAATTGCTTTTAATACTCAGGTCTTACACCCAGCGAGGTGGCTCACGCCTCTAATCCCAGCACTTTGGGAAGCCAAGGCGGGTGGATCACGAGGTCAGAAGTTCAAGATCAGCCTGGCCAATATGGTGAAACCCCATCTCTACTAAAAATACAAAAATTAGCCGGGCATGGTGGCGCGCGCCTGTAGTCCCACTACTCTGTAGGCTAAGGCAGGAGAACTGCTTAAACTCGGGAGGCGGAGGTTGCAGTGAGCCGAGATTACGCCACTGCACTCCCGCCTGGGTGATACAGCGAGACTCCATCTAAAAAAAAAACAAAACCAAACCTCAGGTGTTACTTTTATGATCTAAATAATGTTTAAGCAAATATTTAGGGCTATTGAAGGTTGTACGCTTTCAGAGAGAAATCCATTGTATATGAATATGAACATAATAGCTTATGAGGGAAGATCAGATTTCTAGGATGTTGTATGGACTGAATTATGATCCTCCCACCCCAGTTCATATGTTGAAGTACTACAGAATGTGACTGTATTTGGAATTAGGATGTTTAAAGAGGTAATTGAGGTAATTAAGTTTCAATTAGGTAATCGGGCTCGGCCCTAATTTAACTAATCCAATAGGCCTTTTTTTTTTTTCCTTCTTGAGACGGAGTCTTGCTCTGTTGCCAGGTTGGAGTGCAGTGGTGTGATCTCGGCTCACTGCAGCCTCCACCTCCCAGGCTCAAGCGATTCTCCTGCCTCAGCTTCCCAAGTAGCTGGGATTACAGACACCTGGAACTATACCCAGCTAATTTTTGTATTTTTAGTACAGACGGGGCTTCACCACGTTGGCCAGGCTGGTCACGAATTCCTGAGCTCAGGTGGTCCGCCTGCCTCGGCCTCCCAAAGTGCTGGGATTACAGACGTGAGCCCCTGAGCCCAGCTAATTAAAAAAAAATTTTTTTTGAGACGGCACGATCTCGGCTCACTGCAACCTCCGCCTCCCGGGTTCAAGCGATTCTCCTGCCCCAGCCTCCTGAGTAGCTGGGACTACAAGTGTGTGCCACCATGCCCAGCTAATTTTTTGTATTTTTAGTAGAGACGGGGTTTTACTGTGTTAGCCAGGATGGTTTCGATCTCCTGACCTCATGATCCACCCACCTCAGCCTCCCAAAGTGCTGGGGATTACAGACGTGAGCTACTGTGCCTGGCTTTTAAAATTTTTTATAGAGACAGGTCTAGCTATATTGCCCAGGCTGATCTTGAACTCCTGGCCTCAAGTGATCCTCCCACCTCAGCCTCCCAAAGTGCTGGGATTACAGCCATGAGCCACTGTGCCCAGCCAAAAAAAAAATTTTGTTTTTTAAATAAGCAATGTATAGTCTACACCCAGTATCCATGGGATATTTATTCCAGGACACAATCCTCCCCCAGTATACCAAAATCCACAGATGTTCAAGTCCCTTATATTAAATGACATCGTAGTATTTGCATATAACCTAAGCATATACTTTTTATTTTATTTAATTTATTTGTTTATTTTGAGCCGGAGTCTTGCTCCATCGCCCAGGCTGGAGTGCAATGGCACGATCTAGGCTCACTGCAACCTCCGCTTCCCAAGTTCAAGAGATTCTCCTGCCTCAGCCTCCCGAGTAGATGGGACTAGAGGCGCACAACAGCATGCTTGTTTAATTTTTGTATTTTTTGTACAGACGGGGTTTCATCATGTTGGTCAGGCTGGTCTTGAACTCCTGATCTCAGGTGATCTGCCCACCTTGGCCTCCTAAAGTGTTGGGATTACAGGTGTGACCCACTGCACCAGGCCCAGAATCAGAACTTAAACTCAAGTCTTCCTAAATTTAAACACAGTGCTTTATTTTCTCCAACACCATTAGTGTTTTTGCCTTCTCCTCCTCCCCACTGGACATAAAGCTTCTTGAAAACAAGGACTGCGTTTTTTCATGTGTGTATTTCTTTTGTCATAGAGACGGGATCTCACTATGTTGCCTAGATTGGTCTCAAACTCCTGGCCTCAAGTGATCCTCCCACCTCGGTCTTGCAAAGTGTTAGGATTACAGGCATGAGCCAGTATGCCTAGCCTCATGTCTGTATTTCTAGCACCTAGCATGAGATTTAGCTCATAGTAAGCACAAAATAAATATTTTTTAAATGAAGAGCGATGTTTCTGAAGACATATTGTAAGATGTCTCTGTTTTGCACTTTCACATTTTGCTTACAGGGAGGATTGTAGAAAGCAATACACGCCCACCTACATATACAAGTTAGAATTTATCAAATTCTAGAGGTGAAAGGAATTTAAGACGAGTTTGACCTAGGATTTATTGTTTCCCCACTATGTGCCTAGCTGTGTTCTGGGTGCTGTGAAGAATAAAAAAAAAAAAAAATCTTTGACACAATGTTTCACAATGCTAGCACAATACAGTATGTTCTAAATAAATGTCTAATGAAAAAAGGAAGAGAGACAGACTAGGAGAAGGTTACAGGCCAGGAGTTTGAGCCCAGCCTGGGCAACACTGGGAAACCCCGTCTCTACAAAAAATACAAAAATTAGCTGGGTGAGGTGGTGTGGTGGACAGATAATCCAGGCAGTCAGGAATTCCCGATCTGATTGTACAGGATCTTATATGCCAGGCTAAGGAATTTATTTCCTCCTGTTACTAATCCCTGCTAAAATCCTCTTTCTATAAAAATTTGAATGTCAATAGGGGTCTCCAGAAGTAGACCTCCTTAGAGGTCTACTCCTCCAGAAAAGCCTCCTTAGAGATACAGAGGAATGAAGTGCTAATGGTGGGATGACAGGTGGTGGTATGATATTTTAGATGAGGAGGCCACACCCTCAGATCCTCTGCTGATATGCCGCCAGTTCTGCCAACTTGAGGGTGGGCCAGCTGTGGTCACTAAAGAAAGAACACTTTTGATGGCACTCACTTGCATATCAACTTTAAATTAGTTAACTTAAGCAAAACTCTTCCATTGCTCTTCCAAGAATGAACACATGGTAGTCATGAGGAGAAATCTGTTTTTTTTTTCTCGCTCTATCGCCCAGGCTGGAGTGCAGCGGCGCGATCTTGGCTCACTGCAAGCTCCGCCTCCCGTGTTCACACCATTCTCCTGCCTCAGCCTCCCCAGTAGCTGGGATTACAGGTGCCTGTCGCCACACCCGGCTAATTTTTTTGTATTTTTAGTAGAGACGGGGTTTTACTGTTAGCCAGGATGGTCTGGATCTCCTAACCTCGTGATCCGCCCGCCTCGGCCTCCCAAAGTGCTGGGATTACAGGCGTGAGCCACCGCAACCAGCCCGAGAAATCTGTTCTGATGAGGATGAGTATAATTCCCAGCCCAGCCAGAAAAGAAAACATGCCGCCCACAGCACACTAGGGAGGGAAGAAGGGGGCTTGACAACCTGTTTGGCCCAGACCTTCCCCAACATTCCCCCAGTCAAATGATAACCTCCTAGCAGCTTGGGCCTTGTTTCAGGCCAAAGATAGTTCAGTATGGCCTTCTGCAAGGACAGAATGGCTACACCTGTGGGCTCCTTAAAAGCAAGACCAGGCCAGGCAGTGGCTCATGTCTGTAATCTCAGCACTTTGGGACGAAGGAGGATAGCTTGAACCCAGGATTTCTCTCTTTTTTTTTTTTGAGATGGGGTCTTGCTCTGTTGCCAGGCTAGAGTGCAGTGGTGCAGTCTCAGCTCACTGGAACCTCCAACTCCCTGGTTCAAGCGATTCTCTTGCCTCAGCCTCCCGATTAGCTGGGATTACAGGCACGTGCCACTACGCCCAGCTAATTTTTGTATTTTTAGTAGAGACGGGGTTTCACCACGTTGGCCAGGAGGGTCTCGATTTCTTGACCTCGTGATCCACCCGCCTTGGCCTCCCAAAGTGCTGGGATTACAGGTGTGAGCCACCACGCCCGGCCAAGCCCAGGATTTCAAGACCAGTCTGGGCAACATAGTGAGACCCTGTTTCTAAAAAAAAAAAACAACAACAACAACAAAAAAACGCCTTTTGGCTGAAAAACCACAATACTTCTCAACATTTCTGATACTGAGCTCTGCTCTTGGGAAAACTGTAATGGTCATATATCTTGGAAATGACTCCTGAGCCCAAATCCATCTTCCTGGCAGTGAAGGAAATATTATCATTATTTTAAAGAGGAAGATTTGAGGCCCAGAGAGATTAACTGCTATTCTTTCCTCTCCCTAGAATGCCCCTTTGACAAGCAATTATTGTTGTTCACTAAATAAATGCCTGAGACTATATTAGGTAGTGGGAGACAATATATCATATTTTGTCTTCAGGGTCTTCATAATCTAACAGGTAAACAGATATGCAAATCCTTTAAGTATGTGGAAATAGAGAATTGTACCAGAAGGGGCAGGGCACCAGGTAAGGCCTCAGAGAGGAGAAACTAAGTGTGCAGGATATGAAAAGATTGAGATTTCTCCAGTTAGGTTTGGTTGTTTCTTATCAAGTACAAATTCCTGAAAGAAATCTTAAAGAGCTCAACTTTTCAGGCTGGGCATGGTGGCTCACGCCTGTAATCCCAGCACTTTGGGAGCTGAGGTGGGCAGATCATGAGGTCAGGAGTTTGAGACCAGCTTGGCCAACATGGTGAAACCCCGTCTCTACTAAAAATACAAAAAGTAGCCAGGCATGGTGGTGCACGCCTGTAGTCCCAGCTACTCGGGAGGCTGAGGCAGGATAATCACTTGAACCTGGAACGCAGAGGTTGCAGTGAGCTGAGATTGCACCACTGCACTCCAGCCTGGGCGACAGAGTGAGACTCCGTCTCAAAAAAAAAAAAAAAAAAAAAAAAGGGGGCTGGGTGTGGTGGCTCAAGCCCGTAATCCCAGCACTTTGGGAGGCCGAGGAGGGCAGATCACGAGGTCAGGAGATGGAGACCATCCTGGCTAACACAGTGAAACCCCGTCTCTACTAAAAAAATACAAAAAAATTAGCCAGGGGTGATGTCAGGCGCCTGTAGTCCCAGCTACTTGGGAGGCTAAGGCAGGCTAATGGCGTGAACCCGGAAGGCGGAGCTTGCAGTGAGCCGAGATTGCGCCACTGCACTCCAGCCTGGGTAAAACAGGGAGACTCCGTCTCAAAAAAAAAAAAAAAAAAAAAAGAGCTTAGCTCAATTTTTCAAGCCAGATAATACTATGGGTCAATGGTCACTCTAGGATATGGAGATTTTCACCCTGGTCCAGTCAGCTGAGGTTGGTGGTCGTAGCAGGTCATGTGACCTGCCCAGGGCTGCACCTTCAGTAGGGGCCATCAGTGACCATGGCAGGTATCAGGGGAAGACTTTCCTGGTTTCTGAAGTATGAGTAAGAAGAGAGTTCCTGGCCGGGAGTGGTGGCTCACACCTGTAATCCCAGCACTTTGGGAGGTTGAGGCAGGTGGATCACCTGAGGTCAGGAGTTCGAGACTAGCCTGGCCAACATGGGGAAACCTCATCTCTACTAAAAAAATACAAAAAATTAGCTGGGCACAGTGGCAGGTGCCTATAATCCCAGCTACTCGGGAGGCTAAGGCAGGAGAATCGCTTGAACCCAGGAAGGAGAGGTTGCGGTGAGCCGAGATTGCGCCGTTGCACTCCAGCCTAGGAGAGAGCAAGACTCCATCTAAAAAAAATAATAATAAGTAAATAAAAAAAAAGAAGTCAGTTCCTAAACAGCCTAGAGATGCATTCAGCCAAGGTCCCCAGGCTTAGGTGGAATGTACCTCCAACAGGTGCTGGGGCCTTAAAAGCTCACGCTGGGTGCAGTGGCTCACTTCTGTAATCCCAACACTTTGGGAGGCCAAGGCAGGCGGATCCTTTGAGGCTAGGAGTTTGAGACCAGCCTGTGCAACATGGCAAAACCCCATCTCCACTAAAAATACAAAAGTTAGCAACATGGTGAGACCGTGTCTCTACAAGAAATTTAAAAATTAACCAGGTGTGGTGGCACATGCCTGTAGTCCCAGTGGACGACTGCCTGAACCTAGGAGTTTGAGAGTAGCCTGGGCAACATGGGGAAACCCTATCTATAAAAAATTTTATATATATATATATATATAAATTAGCTGGGCATGGTGGTGCACACCTGTAGTTCCAACTATTCAGGAGACTGACCTGGGAGGACCACCTGAACCTGGGGAGGTCAAGGCTGCAGTGAGCCATGATTGTGCCAGTGCACTCCAGCTGGGTGACAGAGCAAGACCCTGTCTCAAAACAAACAAAACAAAACAGCAACAAAAAACACCACACAATAAAAAACTCAACAATCAACAAAACAAGCCCTAATATGTAGCATGTGCTGATTTCTGTGGCATAAATATCCCTACCACAGCCTATTTAAAGTTACAGGATATGGCCGGGCGTGGTGGCTCACACCTACAACCCCAGCACTTTGGGAGGCCAAGGCTGTTGGATCACTTGAGGTCAAGAGTTCAAGACCTGCCTGGCCAACTTGTCAAAACCCTGCCTCTACTAAAAATACAAAAATTAGTCGGTCATGGTGATGTGGACCTGTAATCCCAGCTACTTGGAAGGCTGAGGCAGGAGAATTGCTTGAACCCAGGAGGCAGAGGTTGTAGTGAGCAAACATTGCACCACTGCACTCCAGCCTGGGCGACAGAGAGAAACCTGTCTCAAAAAACAAAACAAAAAATAAATAAAATAAAATAAAGTTACAGGATATATCAAGCTACATCAACCTACAATATAATGCTGGAAGTGGAGAGTGAAGTAGTGGAGAACTCTGACTCCAGTGCAGGCAAGTTACTTTATCTCTCTGGGCCTCAGTTTCTTCATCTGTAAAATGAGATGATACTAATGCTTCCTCCATAGAGTCATTAAGGGGATTAAATGTGAATATATGAAAATGACGTATGGCAGAGGCTAACATTCCGTACCTTTTAGCTATTGTTAGCCTCTACTATTAATTTACTGTGTGACCTTGGGCAAGACTCTTTCTATCTCTGCATCTTAGTTCCTTCACTTTGTAAAACAAAGAGGTTTTATTGTAAATAATCTTTGACATCCTTCCAGCTCTAAAAATCCTAGTGCCATCTCTGACTCCAGTAAAAGAGAACCTCAGCCTCCGTCTCTGGTTTATGAGCACTTTTCCTGAAATCACAGGTATAAGTCACCTGGGTGATGCAAGAAACATCCAGGTGGATTCTGTCCAAAGTTGATTCATTCCAAAATGTAAAGTTAAAAGGCCGGGTGTGGTGGCTCACTCCTGTAATCCCAGCACTTTTGGAGGCCAAGGCAGACGGATCACTTGAGGTCGAGAGTTTGAGACGAGCCTGGCCAACGTGGTGAAACCCCATCTCTACTAAGCAAACAAACAAACAAAAAATACAAAAATTAGCCGGGCATGGTGGCGCACACCTGTAATCCCAGATACTCAGGAGGCTGAGGTAGGAGAATTGCTTGAACCCAGGAGGCAGAGGTTGCAGTAAGCTGAGATCGCACCACTGCAAGACTCTGTCTCAAAAAAAAAAAAAAAAGTAAAGTTAAAAGTAATTATCAGGCCGGGCAGTGGCTCATGCCTGTAATCCCAGCACTTTGGGAGGCCGAAGTGGGCAGATCACCTGAGGTCAGGAGTTTGAGACCAACCTGGCCAACATGGTAAAACACCATCCCTACTAAAAATACAAAAATTAGCTGGGTGTGGTGGTGCACACCTGTAATCCCAGCTACTCAGGAGGCTGAGACAGGAGAATCGCTTGAACCCAGGAGGGAGAGGTCGCAGTGAGCTGAGATCATACCACTGCACTCCAGCTTGGGTGACAGAGCAAGACTCCATCTCAAAAAAATTAAAAAAAAAAAGAAGTAATTGTCAGCCTTTGCCTCACTCAGTCTGGGAAAACTTCTCTGGGGCCAAAGCTTCCCGGCATCTGGGACTCTTTTCCTCTAACTGGCAGGCCCAGGTGCTGGTCAGTTCTGGCTGAGTCATTTGTAAACCTGCTAGGTGCCTGGTTTAGAAACTTTCTGATTCTTCCCTCTTGGGAGGGTCCTAGGGGAAAATGTCTTTTTCTTTTTTTCTTTGTTTCATGGAGAGAAACAAAAACAGAAAGAAACAGAAATACAGAGAGAAACCTAGAGGCACTATTAATAGAAAGAGACTGAGAAAAAAACACCAGGAGAAAGATTTTTCTGACATTTTTTTTTCTAACAAGAGAAGACAAATACAAACAGAGCTGAAGATAAAATAAAAGCTGATTCCCACCACAACTCTGCAGAATTTCTTGGAAAGGATCATGTTTCAAATAAATACACATGCAGTACAGATGGCGGTATTTCTTGCTTTTTTCCCTACTCTTAACTCTGGGATATTTTGAGCATGCACCTTCCTCCAGCCCAAATGCCCAGTGGAATAATCTTACCTACGTTTCCATTCAGGCCCAATCCTCCTGGTTGAATTCCATAGGAGTTAGAATTATTATCACCTTTTATCACCTTAGAACCAAAGATTCTAAGAGCGAAAAATGACTTTAGAGCACACCTCCTCTTCCTGCAATATTTTACATATGAGAAAACCGAAGCTCAGAGAGGTTAGGTAACTTACTGAGATCCTACAGACAAATGACAGAGCCAGGTTAGATGGCAATCTGTAGTAAGATACATGTCCTTATTTATCAGGTCCCCAGCAAGAAATAGATGGATAATTGAGGAGAGTTTAATAACGACAACGAGAGATGTTACAGTGCCCGAGGGCCAGTGACAGTGTGGAAACCTGATCACTATTGGGCTTCAGGGGACAACAGGAAGGGAGCAGCAAACAAATGAGAAGGGTCACCTGACAGGGGTCTGCAGTGACTCCACTTTTAGGAAGGTGGGGTGTCAGTGGAAAATAAATAACCTCTTTTTTTTTTTGAGACGGAGTCTCACTCTGTCGCCCAGGCTGGAGTGCAGTGGCACGATCTTGGCTCACTGCAGCCTCCGCCTCCCGGGTTCAAGCAATTCTGCCTCGGTCTCCCAAGTACCTGGGACTAAAGGCACGCGCTGCCATGCCCAGCTAATTTTTATATTTTTAGTAGAGATGGGGTTTCGCCATGTTGGCCAGGTTGGTCTCGAACACCTGACCTCAGGTGATCTCCCCACCTCAGCCTCCCAAAGTGCTGGGATTACAGGCATGAGCCACGGTGCCCGGCCATAAATAACCTCTTGTCCCAATCCTCTTTCCTCCTAATCTCCATTGGGAGAATTTAACCAGAAGGCAGAGGACAAGAAGGCCTACTGATAGACCAGGAGTACCCAGTAGGGCAGAGAGTAGATCTGGAGGGGTACATGGAAGCACACCTATCATCACTTTATTTATTATTATTATTATTATTATTATTATTTGAGATGGAGTCTAACTTTGTCGCCCAGGCTGGAGTAAAGTGGTGAGATCGCACCACTGCACTCCAGCCTGGGTGGCAGAGCGAGACTCTGCCTCAAAAAATTAAAAAAAAAAAAAACAAGGAAGAGAGAAGCTGGAGTCTTGGGACCTATGAGCAGATAGTTTAGTGGAAGCCTGGGAGGCCCTCTCCTCCTTCTGTGGAGCAAAAAGTCACCTCTCCAGGGACCTCTTTGACTTGACAGATCCCTTTGGCTGTATCCTGTCTCCTGCTCTCCCTACCTCTAGAATCACCTCCCTACCCTAAAGCCAAAGGAGTCTGAGGCAGAGTCAAGACTCTCAGAAGCAAGTTAAACCAGTTCCTGCAGGCCCTGACATGCCCTGCTGAATAGCCCCTGCAGAAAATTCCTGTCCTCAGCTGTAGCCACAGCTGGCTACTGATGGTAAGAAAGAGACCTGAGGAGGGGAGAGATCTCAAGGAAAACACAAGTCGACACCTTCCTTCAAATACAGATAGAGCCAAACTGGACTTTTAGGAGCTGAGACCGTGCCTGTGGGGCAAAGCTAACACTCAAGTCACCTCTTTCTTGGTCAGCATAGTGGCTACTTCTGCCTGAAAGGACATCTCCAAAGAGCACCAATGCCTGTTTCTTGGGGCCTCCATCCAACTGTGTCAGCTCAGATCCTAGCAGAGCTCCCGGTGTTCTCTGAGAAGCTGCCTCCCAGCAATATCTGAGAGCCCAGGTTTCAGTTTCTTCCTCCAGGTTGCTCAGGTCCCCTGAGTCCCGGGGAAAGGCCACACATGGCTTATTCCTCATGCAGGCAATATGGCTGGGTGTCTTGCCTCACTGTGGTTATATAGGGTAGGCTACAACCAGGGGGAGTACAGAGGTTAATGGTTCAGGATTGGGTAAAGGCCTGGCTGGAGGCTTGAGGGCTTGGAGCTTGGTGTAAAAGTTACCTCCCCCTGTTTCTGGTGCTTCAGAGTCAAAATTATTTGGCCTGACTTTAAGTGAGGGAGTTCTGCCATCTCTCCTGGACTGTAAGAGCTCAGCCGATGACTCAGGGAGCCCTAAGAATGCTTTACAGCTGTGCTCTGTAAACACCGTCACGTTTTATGTTGCAGAAGTTCACAGTCAGCCAAGAGATTTAGTTACCTGCCTGCAGTCAAAAGCTGGTTAATGATTAGAAACAGGATTTAACTGGGAGCTTCAACCTCAGATCCAGTGCTCTTTCTCTAAGCTGCCTCCTACCTAACTCCTCCAATGCTCTATTTATTTATTTCAGATAGGATCTGGCTCTGTCATCCAGGCTGAAGTGCAGTGGTGCAATCATAGCTAACTACAGCCCCAAACTTCTTGTGCTCAAGCGATCCTCCCATCTCAGCCTCCTAAGTAGCTGGGACTACAGGTACGTGCCACTTGTAGTGATTTTTAAATTCTTTTTTTAATAGAGATGAGGTCTTGGTATGTTGACTAGGCTGGTCTTGAGCTCCTGGCCTCAAGCAATCCTCCTACCTCAATCTCCCAAAGCGCTGAGGTTAGGTATGAGCCACCGCACCCCACCTCAATTTATTGAATTTGGTGATCCAGTGATCCAGTGGCAACATTCCATTCCTTCCACAATAAGATCTATTTGGCTTTAAACAAAACACACACACTTCTGAGAAGCTGTATGCTCACATCTTTGTAAATCAAATCTGCAGATAAATGCAGAGGGAAGCTTGATTCAAGGATTGCTACTCTGAAAACCTCAATAAAGTGAAATAAAACCCCAAAAACTCCTTCGAGTTTGAGACCAGCCTGAGCAATAAAGAAAATCCTGTCTCTAAAAAAAAAAAAAAAAAAATTAGCCATGCAGGGTAGTGCATGCCTGTAGTCCCAGCTACTCAGGAGGCTGAGGTGGGAGGATTGCTTGAGTGACCAGGAGGTTGAGGCTGCAGTGAGCCAAGATGGGGCCACTCCACTCCAGCCTGGGCAACACAGCAAGACCCTGTCTCAAAACAAAAACAAAAAACTCTTTCACACTACAGCTACCTTCCTCTCTCCGCAGTCCCTTTAAAAGACATTTTTGTGCATATCTTTGTTTTCTCCACACTCCATGTGGAATTTATGCAGGAGAGGGATCTCCAGAAGCGAGGAGCTAAGCTCTGGCTCCCCCTACTGGGTATATGATGGATTCATTGGCCCCAAATCTCCCATAAGACTCTGGGGCTCTCCAATCTTGTACCTGCCTGTGCTTGGAAAGCCTTTAGAAGGCAGGGCTCCCTAAGGAGAGATGTGACCGTGGAAGGCTTTCTAGAAGAGTTGGAACCTGAACTACATCTTGAAAGATTTTGACATGGGAAGTTGGTAAGCTGGTTTGTAATTATTTCGTCATTTAACAATATATCTTAACAATCATTGTATGTCAGTACCTATAGCTTTACCTCTTTTTTTTTTTTTTTTTTTTTTTTTTTTTTTTTTTGAGACGGAGTCTCGCTCTGTCGCCCAGGCTGGAGTGCAGTGGCGTGATCTCGGCTCACTGCAAGCTCCGCCTCCCGGGTTCACGCCATTCTCCTGCCTCAGCCTCCCGAGTAGCTGGGACTACAGGCGCCCGCCACCACGCCCGGCTAAATTTTTGTATTTTTTAGTAGAGACGGGGTTACACTGTGTTAGCCAGGATGGTCTCGATCTCCTGACCTCGTGATCTGCCCGCCTCAGCCTCCCAAAGTGCTGGGATTACAGGCGTGAGCCACCGCGCCCAGCCTCATTCTTTTTTTTTTATTATTATTTTTATTTTTATTTTTTTGAGACGGAGTCTTGCTCTGTTACCCAGGCTGGAGTGCAGTGGCGCGATCTCGGCTCACTGCAAGCTCTGCCTCCCGGGTTCATGCCATTCTCCTGCCTCAGCCTCCCGAGCAGCTGGGACTACAGGCGCCCACCACCACGCCTGGCTAATTTTTTGTACTTTTAGTAGAGACAGGGTTTCACTGTGTTAGCCAGGATGGTCTCGATCTCCTGACCTCGTGATCGGCCCGCCTTGGCCTCCCAAAGTGCTGGGATTACAGGCGTGAGCCACCGTGCCCAGCCTCATTCTTTCTTTTTTTAATTATTTTTATTTTTATTTTTTTTGAGACGGAGTCTTGCTCTGTTACCCAGGCTGGAGTGCAGTGGCGCGATCTCGGCTCACTGCAAGCTCCGCCTCCCGGGTTCATGCCATTCTCCTGCCTCAGCCTCCCGAGTAGTTGGGACTACAGGCGCCCACCACCACGCCTGGCTAATTTTTTGTACTTTTAGTAGAGACAGGGTTTCACTGTGTTAGCTAGGATGGTCTCAATTTCCTGACCTCGTGATCCACCCGCCTCGGCCTCCCAAAGTGCTGGGATTACAGGCGTGAGCCACTGCGCCCAGCCCTTTTCTTTTTTTTAAATCATCCAGCCCAAAATGTCAAAAGGACAAGCTTATGCTTTTATTTATTTTTATTTTTTGAGACAGATTCTTGCTCTGTCACCCAGGCTGGAGTGCAATGGTGCAATCTTGGCTCACTTGCACCCTTGACCTCACAGGCTCAAGTGATCCTCCCATCTCAGCCTCCCAAATAGCTGGGCCCACAGGTGTGCACCACCATGCCTGGCTAATCTTTTTTTTATTGTTTTTTTATTTTTTTTTAGACAGTCTCACTCTGTCGCCCAGGCTGGAATGCAGTAGTGCGATCTCAGCTCACTGCAACCTCCGCCTCCTGGGTTCAAGCGATTCTCCTGCCTCAGCCTCCTAAGTAGCTGGGACTACAGGTGTACACCACCACACTCGGCTAATTTTTGTATTTTTAGTAGAAACGGGGTTTCGTTATGTTGGCCAGGTTGGTCTAGTACTCCTGACCTTAGGTGATCTGCCCACCTTGGCCTCCCAAAGTGCTGGGATTATAGGCGTGAGCCACTGCACCTGGCCATGCCTGGCTAATTTTTTAAATTTTAGAAATGGGATCTCCCTGTGTTGCCCAGGCTGGTCTTGAACTCCTGAGCTCAAGTGATCCTGGCACCTTGGCCTTCCAAAGTGTTGGGATTACAGGGATGAGCCACCATGCCCAGCTACTTCATTCTTTCAAAAGTGGGCTATATATGTACATTTAAAAAACTTTTTATGGCTAGGCTCAGTGCCTCACGCCTGTAATCCCAGCACTCTGGGAGGCCAAGGCAGGTGGATCACCTGAGGTCAGGAGTTCAAGACCAGCGTGACCAACATGGTTAAACCTGATCTCTAATAAAAATACAAAATTAGCCGGGCGTGGTGGCGGGTGCCTATAATCCCAGCTATTCGGGAGGCTGAGGCAGGAGAATTGCTTGAACCCGGGAGGTGGAGGTTGCAGTGAGCTGAGATCGAATCCATTGTACTCCAGCCTGGGCAACAAGAGCAAAACTCCATCTCAACAACAACAACATTTTATTATTAAAAAAACTCCAACATTTAAAAATTAGGCTGGGCACAGGTGCTCATGCCTGTAATCCCAGCACTTTGGGAGGCTGAGACAAGAGGATTGTTTGAATATAGGAGTTCCACACCAGCTGGGAAACATGGTGAAACGTTCTTTTTTTTTTTTCTTTTTTGAGATGGAGTCTTTCTGTGTTGCCCAGGCTGCAGTGCAGTGGTGCAATCTCGGCTCACTGCAACCTCTGCCTCCTGGGTTCCAGCGATTCTCCTGACTCAGCCTCCTGAGTAGCTGGATTACAGGTGTGCTCCACCACAACGCCCAGCTAATATTTGTATTTTTAGTAGAGATGGGGTTTCAACATGTTGGCCAGGCCGGTTCCAAACTCCTGACCTCAAGTGATCTACCCGCCTTGGCCTCCCAAAGTGCTGGGATTATAGGCGTGAGCCACCGCGCCTGGCCAATATTATTTCTACTAAAAATTGTTTAAAAAATTAGCCAGGGGTTGGCTGGGCACGGTGGCTCACACCTGTAATCCCGGCACTTTGGGAGGCCAAGGTGGGCGGATCACGAGTTCAGGAGATCGAGACCATCCTGGCTAACACGGTGAAACCCCCATATCTACTAAAAAATACAAAAAATTAGCCAGGCGTGGTGGCGGGCACCTGTAGTCCCAGCTACTCGGGAGGCTGAGGCAGGAGAATGGCGTGAACCCAGGAGGCGGAGCTTGCAGTGAACTGAGATCGCGCCACAGCACTCCAGCCTGGGCGACAGAGAGAGACTCTGTCTCAAAAAAAAAAAAAAAAATTAGCCAGGGAAGGTGGTGTGCGCCTGTGGCAGGAGGCTGGGGCAGGAGGATGGCTTGGGCCCAGAAGTTTGAGGCCACAATGAACTATGATTGAGCCACTCCACCCCAGCCTTGGTGATTGCATGAGATCCTGTCTCAACAAAATAATAAAATAAAATTTGTGCTAGGCATGGTGACTCAGGCCTGTAATCCCACGACTTTGGGAGGCCCAGCCAGGAGGATGGCTTGCATCCAGGAGTTTAAGAACAGCCTGGGCAAAAAGCAAGACCCCATGACTACAAAAAAAGTTTCAAAAATTAGCCAGACATAGCAGTGCGTGCCTGTAGTCCTACTTGAAAAGCTGAAGAGGGAGGATCGCTTGAGCCCAGAAGTTCCAGATTGAAGTCAGCTGTGAAGTGAGCCATGATCCTGCCACTGCACTCCAGCCTGGGTGACAGAGCAAGAGACCCTGAGTAAAAAAAATTTTTTTTTTTTGAGATGGAGTCTCGCTCTGTCGCCCAGGTTGGAGTGCAGTGGTGCAATCTCAGCTCAATGCAAGCTCCGCCTCCTGGGTTCATGCCATTCTCCTGCCTCAGCCTCCCGAATAGCTGGGATTACAGGCGCCCGTCACCACGCCTGGCTAATTTTTTTGTATTTTTAGTAGAGATAGGGTTTCACGGTGTTAGCCAGGATGGTCTCGATCTCCTCACCTCATGATCTGCCCACCTTGGCCTCCCAAAGTCCTGGGATTACAGGCGTGAGCCACCACACCCGGCCCCCAATTTTTTTTTTTTTAAATAAATATAGGCCGGGCGCACTGGCTCACACCTGTACCCCAGCACTTTGGGAGGCCGAGGTGGGCAGATCACCTAAGTTCAGAAGTTTGAACCAGCCTGGCCAACATGGTAAAACCCCATCTCTACTAAAAATACAAAAATTAGCCAGACGCGGTGGCACGCGCCTATAATCCCAGCTACTCGGGAGGCTGAGGCACGAGAATTTTTTTTTTTTTTTTTTGAGACGGAGTCTTGCTCTGTCGCCCAGGCTGGAGTGCAGTGGCGTGATCTCAGCTCACTGCAACCTCCGCCTCCCAGGTTCATGCCATTCTCCTGCCTCAGCCTCCTGAGCAGCTGGGACTACAGGAGCCCACCACCATGCCCAGCTACTTTTTTGTATTTTTAGTAGAGACGGGGGGTTTCACCGTGTTAGCCAGGATGGTCTCGATCTCCTGACCTCGTGATCCACCCGCCTCGGCCTCCCAAAGTGCCGGGATTACAGGCGTGAGCCACCACACCCGGCCGAGGCACAAGAATTGCTTGAACTTGGGAGGTGGAGGTTGCAGTGAGCCAAGATTGCACCACGGCACTCCAACCTGGGTGACGGAAGTCTCGAAAAAAAAATAAAAAAAAATTTTTTTTAAATATATATAAATAAAAAAGTAAAAAATTAGGGCCAGGGGCCAGGCGCGATGGCTCACGCCTGTAATCCCAGCACTTTGGGAGGAGGCCAAGGTGGGCGGATCACCTGAAGTTAGAGGAGTTCAAGACCAGCCTGACCAATATGGTGAAGCCCCGTCTCTACTAAAAAAAAAATACAAAGATTAGCCGGGCATGGTGGCAGGCGCCTGTAGTCCCAGCTACTTGGGAGGCTGAGACAGAAGAATTGCTTGAACCAGAGAGGCGGAGGTTGCAGTGAGCCTAAATCGTGCTACTGCACTCCAGCCTGAGCGACAAAAAACAAACAAACAAACAAACACAAAACAATAGGCCCAGGTACAGTTTGGGCAACAGAGTGAGACTGTGTCTCAAAAAATAATACTAATTTTTCAACACCATAAATACCATTTGATAGGCTAAGAGTTCCTGATAAAGACCACAGTCACCAGTTAAATAAACTGATAGCCTCAGAACAATAACATCAAAGCTGACATCATCTGTGATGACTCACGCAACCTCCATCATCTTTGAGAATCCTATGACATCCTGGCTAGCAACTCTAGGTCTGCCCAGGTGCCTGCAAGGCAGATTCCATAGCAAGGCAAGTTTAGGTATCTCAGGTCTTAGCTAGATCTCTTATTATCTTCTGCTATCAAAGGAGACCCAAGATAGCTGTACGTTTTCTTGGCTTGTTCAAGATGAGAAAGCATCCTAAAACTCTACAACCTGCACTTTGAAAGGATGTCTTCGAGTACAAGTTCAAAATGTTGAGATAGGCTCGGTGCAGTGGCTCGGGTCTGTAATTCCAGCACTTTGGGAGGCTGAAGTGGGCGGATAACGAGGTCAAGAGATCGAGACCATCCTGGCCAGATGCTGGTGATATCCCGTCTCTATTAAAAATACAAAAATTAGCTGGGCATGGTTGCATGGGCATGTAGACCCAGCTACTCGGGAGGCTCAGGCAGGAGAATCGCTTGAACCCGGGAGGCAGAGGTTGGGGTGAGCCGAGATTGCGCCACTGCACTCCAGCCTGATGAGAGTGAGACTCTGTTTAGAAAAAAAAGAAAAAAAATGGCCAGGCGCCTTGGCTGACGCCTGTAATCCCAGCACTTTGGAGACCGAGACAGGCGGATCATGAGGTCAGGAGTTCGAGACCAGCCTGGCCAATATGGTGAAACCCTGTCTCTATTAAAAATACAAAAATTAGGCCGGGCACGGTGGCTCACGCCTGTAATCCCAGCACTCTGGGAGGACAAGGCAGGCAGGAGGATCATCTGAGCTCAAGAGTTTGAGAGATCAGCCTTGGCAACATGGCGAAACCCTGTCTCTGTTTAAAAAAAAAAAAAACATTAAGGCCGGGTGTGGTGGCTCACGCCTGTAATCCCAGCACTTTGAGAGGCTGAGGTGGGCAGATCATGAGGTCAAGAGATTGAGACCATCCTGGCCAGACGCTGGTGAAATCCCGTCTCTACTAAAAATACAAGAATTAGCTGGGCATGGTGGCACGGGCATAGAGACTCAGCTACTCGGGAGGCTGAGGGATGAGAATCGCTTGAACCCGGGAGGCAGAGGTTGGACTGAGCCAAGATCGCGCCACTGCACTCCAGCCTGACGAGAGTGAGACTCTGTTTAGAAAAAAAAGAAAAAAAATGGCCAGGCGCCTTGGCTGACGCCTGTAATCCTAGCACTTTGGAGGCCGAGGCAGGCGGATCATGAGGTCAGGAGTTCGAGACCAGTCTGGCCAATATGGTGAAACCCCGTCTCTATTAAAAATACAAAAATTAGCCGGGCGCGGTGGCTCACGCCTGTAATCCCAGCACTTTGGGAGGCTGAGGTGGGTGGATCACCTGAGGTTGGGAGTTCGAGACCAGCCTGACCAACATGGAGAAACTCCATCTCTACTGAAAGTACAAAAATTAGCTGGGCATGGTGGCGCATGTTTGTAATCCCAGCTACTCAGGAGGCTGAGGTAGGAGAATCGCTTGAACCTGGGAGGTGGAGGTTGCAGTGAGCCAAGATTGCGCCATTGCACTCCAGCCTAGGCAACAAGAGCGAAACTCTGTCTCAAAAAAAAAAAAAAAAGAAATTAGCCAGATGTGGTGGCAGGCGCCTGTAGTCCCAGCTACTTGGGAGGCTGAGGCAGGAGAATTGCTTGAACCGAGGAGGCGGAGGTTGCAGTGAGCTGAGATCATGCCATTGCACTCCATTCCGGGTGGCAGAGCAGGACTCTGTCTCAAAAAAAAAAAAAAAAAAGAAAAAGAAAAAAATACAAAATTAGCTGGGCATGGTGGCACACGCCTGTAATCCCAGCTACTTGGTAGGCTGAGGCAGGAGAATTGCTTGAACCTGGGCGGTGGAGGTTGCAGCGAGCCAAGATCATGCCATTGCATTCCAGCCTTGTGACAGCCTGAGACTCCGTCTCAAGAAAAAACAAACAGAAAATCAAACAAACAAAAAAACAACATTGACCAGGCGCGGTGGTTCAAGTCTGTAATCCCAGCACTTTTTGGGAGACCAAGGCAGGCGGACTGCTTGAGGTCAGGAGTTTGAGACCAGCCTGGGCAACATGGCAAAACCCCTCCTCTACTAAAAATACAAAGATTAGCCAGGTGTGGTGGTGTGTGCCTGTAATCCCAGCTATTCAGAGGAGGCTGAGGCACAAGAATCACTTGAATCCAGGAGGCACAAGCTGCAGTGAGCTGAGATTGCACCACTGCACTCCAGCCTGGGTGACAAAGCCAGGCTCTGCTTTAAAAAAAAAAAAAAAAAAAAAGGGCCGGGTGTGGTGGCTCACGCCTGTAATCTCAGCACATTGGGAGGCCAATGTGGTGGATCAGGAGTTTGAGACCAGCCTGGCCAACATGGTGAAACCCTGTCTCTACTTAAAATACAAACATTAGCCACGTGTGGTGGTGGGCGCCTGTAATCCTAGCTACTTGGGAGACTGAGGCAGGAGAATCACTTGAACCTGGGAGGCGGAGGTTGCAGTGAGCTGAGAACGCACCATTGCACTCTGGCCTGGGTGTGAAGAGCAAAACTCTGTCTCAAAAAAAAAAAAAAAAGTTGAGATAGTTTGAAATAGGTAGGAAAAAGCAACCAGTGGTATGCAGATTTGATGATCACTTCCTCCAGTATCAATTCAGTCATGGTTCTGAGCTTTACTTTTTGCTTTTTTAAGTCTTAGCACTAATATTACAGTTTATCTGTGTATTATTGTAAGAGAAAATATTTTCCTTTGATCTAGTGTGATTTTACAAAAATTGGTATCTAAAAATTCCTCAGAATACTTCTAAATTACCACAAACTTGGTGGGTTGTTTTTTGTTGTTTTTTTTGAGACGGAGCCTTGCTCTGTCGCCTAGGCTGGAGTGCAGTGGCACGATCTCAGCTCACTGCAACCTCCATCTCTCAGGTTCAAGCAATTCTCCTGCCTCAGCCTCCCGAGTAGTTGGGACTATAGGTGCATGCCACTACGCCCGGCCAATTTTTTGTATTTTTAGTAGAGACGGGGTTTCACCATATTGGTCAGGCTGGTCTCGAACTCCTGAGCTCAGGCGATCCACCCGCCTCAGCCTCCCAGAGTGCTGGGATTAGAGGCATGAGCCACTGTGCCCAGCCTAACTTGGTGGGTTTTAAAACAACAGAGTCATTCTCTCATAGTTTTGGAGTCCAGAACTCTGAAAACAAGACGCCAATCTCATGCAATGCTCTTTCTCGAGGCCCAAGGGGAGAATTTTTTTTTTGAGACGGAGTCTCACTCTGTTGCCCAGGCTGGAGTGCAATGGTGTGGTCTCGGCTTTCTGCAACCTCTGCCTCCTGGGTTCAAGCGATTCTCTTGCCTCAGCTTCCTGAGTAGCTGAGATTATAGGAGCACACCACCACGCCCGGCTAATTTTTGTATTTTTTGGTAGAGGTGGGGTTTCGCCATGTTGGCCAGGCTGGTCTCAAACTCCTGACCTCAGATGATCTGCCCACCTCGGCCTCCCAAAGTGCTGGGATTACAGGTGTGAGCAGCCACGCCTAGCCTATTATTATTTTTTGAGACAGGGTCTTGCTCTGTCACCCAGGTTGGAGTGCAGTGGCGCAATCATAGTTCACAGCAGCCTCAAACTCCTGGGCTCAAACAGTCTTCCTGTGCACCATCATGCCTGGCTAAGTTTTCAATTTTGTGTAGAGACCAGGTCTTGCTATATTGCCCAGGCTGATCTTGAGCTCCTAGTATCATGCAATCTTTCTGCCTTGGCCTCCCAAAGTGCTGGGATTACAGGCATGAGCCACTGCGCCTGGCCAGTTTCTTTCTTTTTTTTTTTTTTTTTGAGACAGGGTCCTGCTCTGTTGCCCAGGCTGGAGTGCAGTGGCACAATCCTGGCGCGCTGCAGCCTTAAACTCCTGGGCTCACGTGATCTTCCTGTCTCTGCCTCCCAAGTACCTGGGACTATAGGTGGGCATCACCATGCAAGGCTAATTAATTATGTGTAGAAATGGGGTCTCACTATGTTGGCCAGATTGGTCTCAAATTCCTGGCTTCAGGCAATCCACCCCAGCCTCCCAAAGTGTTGGGATTACAGGTGTAAGCCACTGCACCCAGCTCAGTTTATTTTAAGGTATGAGTTGATCATCTGTTTTCTTCCTGTCCATAGCGCTAGCAATGTTAATTATAGCTCTGAATACACCTTACAGCTTAACAAGAAGCATAGTAAACATGTGACTATGAGCACTTTTTTTTTTCGAGACGGAGTCTCTCTCTGTTGCCAGGCTGAAGTGCAGTGGCGTGATCTCGACTCACTGCAACCTCTAACTCCTGGGTTCAAGCGATTCTCCTGCCTCAGCCTCCAGAGTAGCTGGGATTACAGGCACGAGCCACCACACCCAGCTAATTTTTTGTATTTTTAGTAGAGACAGGGTTTCACCATGTTGGCCAGGATGGTCTCGATCTTCTGACCTCGTGATCTGCCTGCCTCGGCTTCCTAAAGTGCCAGGATTATAGGTGTGAGCCACTGCACACGGCCTGAGTACTGTTAAATAGTATTATTATGCCTTAAAAATCCTGACTTCGGCAGTTCCACACTAATCAAGAAGAGTGTTCAGATGTGAGGCCCAACCCAGGGGGATTCTGATAGAGGATAGTCCACACCTCTCTTGGAGAGTGGAATCATAAAAGAGCTCACAACTCCATCTCCATCTTGAGTTCAGTTCACACCTTTCTCTCCAGTGGTAGTATTCCTATGTCTCACATTTCTTTCATTGGATTCTTCTTTGGAGGAGCTAAGGGCAGAACCAAGCTAAGAAACCTGAGCAATTTATTGTCTTCATCACTGGTTTCAGAATTAGCAGCCTATGTTTCCATCCTCCCAAACATTTCAGTTATCTCAGCACACTAGCGTGAAGAAAGATATGAATGAACTAGCATGAAGCAAATAACACTGAGTGATTCCTTCTCCTGTCCACCCCCCACTCCTCATTGTTGTCTTCTAGATACCAGCAACTGAAAAGCAGAACAAAAACACTTGGATCGTAGGCTAACTCCTAAAAGATTGATCCCTGGTGCTGATACAGGTATGGACATCCTGACTTGCTATTTCTGGGTATCTGCACGAGGAATGGCAGCTGGATCAGAGTGGCCTGGACTGCGGGCAGTCTTTAGTTTTATTAGGAACACAGGGCCAGATCAATAATCAATTAGAGTTGGCAGGGGACCAGGGACTTGGAGCATAAACAAGTCATGAAGGGCTAAGAATTCAGTTCAGCTACAAAGCCTCCTGTAGAAGGACCCAAAGGATGAGGAGCCAGCAGACTATTTGGAATAAGGCATGTGGCATGCGGCCTGAGACAGAACAAGAAGTGCCTGAGAGAGAACAAGAAGTTCTTTCACAGAAGGGAGTAGGGACTGCTGGCTAAAAAGGGACCCCATAAAGCCCACAAAGCCCTTCTGTGATACATGCTTTGCTGGAAAGTCTGGCTGGAAAGTGGGAGCAAGGCCAAGATTCCATGGAGGCCAGAGGCCTAGACCAAGTCAACCCCACATTCCCTAAGTCACCTTTCTTTGTGAGCATGTTCTATGGAACAAGTCCCATAGTAAAATACCAAAAACCTAAGAGTTCAGTTGCACATGTGTACCTTTTTCCTTTTATAAATATTCATGACTCCTCCTATAGCTTATTAAATACATATATTCAGCCACCTTGTTCAACATAAATTCCTGTCCCCTTTGCCCCTCCCTCAGTTTGTGTTTCTGACTTCTGGCCAGAGGCTGTACTTCCCAGACTGTCAGAATGGCCACCCTGCAGACTGCAACCCTTTGAGAAATAAAGCTCTCCTTTCCAATTTTTAAAAATAAAAAAACCTGATGGTAAAGGAATGAAGCTGCTTTTGTTCTAATCTGCATTTCCCAAAAATGATTTGACAATATATTTTGTTTGGAGATGGAGTCTCACTCTGTTGCCCAGGCTGGAGTGTAGTGGCACAATCTCGGCTCACTGCAACCTCTGCCTCCCAGGTACAAGCAATTCTCCTGCCTCAGCCTCCCAATAGCTGGGATTACAGGCACCCGCCAACACGCCCAGCTAATTTTTGTATTTTTGGTAGAGATGGGGTTTCACCATGTTGGCTGGGCTGGTCTCAAACTCCTGACCTCAGGTGATCCACCCACCTGGGCCTCCCAAAGTGCTGGGATTACAGGTGTGAGCCACTGCACCCGGCTGACAATGAAGATTTTACAAATACCTTCTAAATTCATTTTGGGAAAGGCTAGTTTCAGCCCTTTCCAAATGTAACTCGTCTCCTCTGGGGAGCCCTCTCAAATTGCTTTAACTTACTCATCTCCCCTTCCTGTCTTGCAGCCTTTGATCATATAGGAACCCATGTGTCATGTTCTGAACCAGTCAGTCTCTAAGGCAGGTGCATAGAGCAGCTGTGTCCAGCTTGCCCTGGAAAGAACAAGTACCATGTGGCAGAAGAATAGGGACGGCCTTGCCAGGCTCTGCGGCCTAGCCCTGGTGGGTTTCCCAGAGATGACTGTGTGAGGAAGGGTGGTATGATTTGGCAGTTTCTCTCAGCTACAGCTCCAAATAGGCTCTAGAAGAGCATCACTCACTGTGGTCACTGTGTCTTCCCCTTACAAAGGGCAGTGAAGGTCTATGGTTCCAACTACAAAAAACAAAAATTAATATCCTATTCCCAGAGTACTATGCAAGCACTTTCAGCGTCATTCTCAGGGCACCATCCAAGCAGACAGGGCCTATTACCAACCCTTACTTATGTAACAGAAGTAACGTCACACTACTTCAGTACCCTGGGCATATCCACCCTCAGCTGGACCTCAGAGCAACTCATCTTGGGCTAGAGTTGGGGACCCAGAGCAAGCAGGTCTTAGTATTTGTGCCTGCACTTGACCTGCCTCTAACCTGGAGGTAATGGCTTGTGTTCCCCTTCTGCCACAAGCAATCCCAACAGCTCAAGCCAACCTTCCAACTAGTCATGTGGGGCCTTTTTGGCAGGCTCCTGGCTACACAATACTCACTCACACCATTGTGCACTGGAATAATTTTTATTTTTTTCCTTGGCAAAAAGTCAAGTGCTACATTTTTAAAAACAGAAAATCTCAAACAATCAAACGCATTACCCATTACAGAAGAGGGTCTAGCAATAGTACAAAACATCCTACTGAAGATTTTTTTTTTAAATATACAAGTCAGTTTAAAATGATAGAAGTTCTGTGAGAACTAAGAAATCTACAGCCTGTAGTTTAATAATAGAAAAAAAATTAAGACAATTAAAAGATCTATAGCATCCAGCATTTTGCTTAATTCCCTGTTTATAGCACCTATTTCTCTAGGTTCGAAGATGAGAATTCCAGAACCTGTGGTATGTGCTGTGTAACAAGTTAGGGTGGACTTGCTGTCTCTCCTCTCCAGTAGCCCCCCACCATTAAAAGGAGAATATATATATAATTTTTTTTCCAATTTCCCTTCTTACACCCAGAGAAGAGGGGGACAACTGGGAGAACAAGTTAAAAAACTGGGGTGCAGGAATAAATATGACTTTTCCTTTCCCCAAAATGGGATGTTGACAGAAAAGCAGAGTATGTGCTTAGAGGAACTGGTGGGTGGGAACAGCTGTTATCTTTGACATGATGTGTAAAAATCAGGGAACAAGTGGACATCACAGTCAGCTGCCTGCAAGTTTAAAAACCTCAGACTAAACAGACAGTTCAAGGGAGGAACAGACAAATTACTAATCACATTGATGCTGTCACATGCACAATGATGCTGACTGCAGGCCAGCCTGTCACCATCTCAGGGCTAAGCCAACAGAGTAGGAGGGGTGGCTTCAACCCCAAGTCCCACTGCAGTAAGAAAATGAATATTCCACACATGAAGCACTCACTACACACAGATAAACCCCCTGCTCACCCCCACCTTCTTAGACTTAACCCAATTTAGAAAATAATAGCAAAACCCACTGGGGAGATTGGAAGAATGGCAGAGAGGATTCTCCTCAAAGCCATGGGGGCTATGGATGTGAATCTTAGCAGACTTGAGACTCCCAGCTCCAGGCCCCTTAAAACCAGATCAGGTCTTGAGGGGAAGGAGAGAGAAGCTAGGATGGGGATTCAAGTCCCATGAAGCCTTTTGTAGCCTCTGGAGCTGCACCTGGATGGTGAGTCTGATGTTTTAGGGGTGTGGCTACTGGCTAAGCAGATGTGAGGGTGGGAAGGGGAAGTGACACCAACTTCCCACACGGGGGACACACAGGTGGGAAGACAGGTAGGGCTGGATCACTTTGCAGTCCTGGCATGGGAGGCCCCAGGAAGCCTACAATCTAACTAAAAAGATTTTCCCAGTGGTAATTTCTTTTCCTTTCTGTTTTTACTTCCTATTATCAGTGTTGTTAGACTTAAAAAACAAGATACAGACTAGTCCCAAAGCTGGACTCTGTGAATAAAGTTGTTTCTTTTATAAATATTTTAATTACAAGTAATCCTCACTCCAGGTAATTTCAGTGACACACAGTACCTACAGGCACACAAGATCACACACACACACGCAGACAAGATCTCTCTCTCACACACACACAGACACACACAGCTCCCAAACTTTCACAGAAAGTCTGAGAGCAACCATGTAATTATAAAGGAGCCCTACCTCTCAAGAGTGAAGTAAGGGTGAGCTATGTCATTTCAGCCTGAAGAAGCCAGAGACAGGAGAATGTGTGTCACTTAAAGAAAAATAGGGATTAGCAACAATGTTTGGTTGAAAAGCCAGAAATAATAAAAGATAGTAAAATTTTGATTACCAAAGGGGAAAACAAAAAGCAAAACAACTTTCAGATTTCTGTACAGAGCTTCTTCCTATTAAGTGCCTAAACTATAGGCAAACTTTGGTGTTCCCACTAAAACACAAGAGCCTCACACAATTAGGAAAAAAAAAATCAAAAGAAACAAGGAAACTGAGAATGGAAGTTAGTGTAAATCTCTGCATTTGGGGAGTTGTCATTAACTCCAGAGCCCAGCATAGTTTCCATGGAGCCCTGAAGGGAGGGGACCTCCTGCCACAAAGAGTTTCGTTCCAGACGAGTCGTAGCAGTGGGTGTAAACAGCATTGGGGAAGAAGTCAATGTCTGAAAAGTAATTCCTCCAGGTTTCATCATGATTCTACGGGAAGAGAAAGAGACTACAATTAGCACCTCTAGCCATGGGGCAGGAAAAGGGGGAGGAAGGGACAGGAATGCTTTCTGGTCTCCTTAAGGGAACAGGGTTCTACAGGTACAACCTCATGTCAGGAGATTGGCTGGTTGGTTCTCATGGGAATCAGGGCCTCATTTTTCCAACTAAACGTTAGAGAAGAACGGAGCAGCTGAAGAATTGCTATACAAGGCTCAGTTCTTCTCAGGAGACTTAGAACCAAAGTTCTGTTTTCCCTCCACCTGCTAGGCACAGGAGGAAGAACCAAACACTTGAATAATTCACTGGAGGTGGGGCGCAGTGGTTCATGGCTGTAATCCCAGAATTTTAGGAGGCCAAGGTGAGAGAATCACTTGAGCCCAGGAGTTTGAGACCAGCCTGGGCAACATGGCGAGACCCCATCTCTACTAAAAAAAAATAAATTAGCCGGGCACAGTGCATATGCCTGTGGTCCCAGCTACTTGGGAGGCTGAGGCAGGAGGACTGCTTGAGCCCAGGAGTTCAAGGCTACATACAGTAAGCTATGATCACACCACTACACTCCAGCCTGGGCAACAGAGTGACCCTGTCTCAAAAAAAAAAAAAAAAAAAAAATTCACTGACAGCTGTGGTGGGAGGTCCCTTATCCTTCTTGCTCTATTACACCTTGGGGAAAATCCTAAGTCAACCAGTGTGTTTTACTGGGCCTCAGTTTTCCCACAGGCAACGTGCAGACATAAAAGCAAAATCGGGGGAAGTCTTTTCCTGTTCCAATGAGTGCCTCTTACTAGTGAAAAAGTATGAGTAGATGGTGTGTCAGTGGGGGCTGAGAGATAGAGGAAGATAATTTTTCTGTTACTGTGTAGCAGTCATCTCAGGTAGGGGCTTACGCACCAGCCAGCCTTTGCCAGTGGTTAGTTTCAGATTCTCCCCTGCTAGTCTGGGCTTGGACCCATAACAAGCTGAGAGCCTCTCTTCCAGAAATCTCTGAGCTCGGATGTCATAGAACAGCAGGGAGCCCTGCCCTGTTCCCACAGTGATGATGTGCTCGTAGAAACTCACTGACCGGATTCCTGAAAGACAGAAAAGTAAAAGGCAGTGAGGCGGGAGAGAATATTTGCTGACTGTCTGCTAGCCTGAATTTCTCCAACACTGAGTTTTCAACGTCCACCCTGCTCCCCTCCACCCGCCCCACAAAGTATCAGACAGTGTTTTCCCAATGGCAAGTTAGCTCATGCAAAAGCAAAGAGAATCCTGATGCCATCCTGCCTATCCACACACTGACAGAAACCATCCAAGAAGCCTTGGAAAAGTGTCAGATTCCCGATGATGCTCAAGATGCTTTTGGCCGAAGACCATAAGTGCTGAGAACTTCCTTGCTTCCTCTCAACTCACTCTGGGATCATCTTTCATAACTCTAAGCTTTTCTCCATCATATGTTTCCAACCTACACTGCAACTCAAGGTAATCTGCATATTTATAAATCATTAAGTCATCAACGATTCCTTATATTTCACCTAAAACCACTACTGTGGCAAATGCAAGAAGTCTTTTTTTATTTTTTGAGATGGAGTCTCGCTCTGTCGCCCAGGCTGGAGTGCAATGGCGCGATCTTGGCTCGCTGCAACCTCTGCCTTCCGGGTTCAAGCGATTCTCCTGCCTTAGCCTCCCAAGTAGCTGGGATTACAGGCTCCTGCCATCACACTCAGCTAATTCTTGCATTTTCAGGAGAGACAGGGTTTCACCATGTTGGCCAGGCTGGTCTTGAACTCCTGACCTCAAGTGATCCACCTTGGCCTCCCAAAGTGCTGGGATTATAGGCATGAGCCACTGTGCCCGGCCACAATGCAAGAAGTCTTTATCTAGTATTAGGTGTTTTGAGAGTGGCAAAAAGCCCAGAACTTAAATACCCAAAGATGTTTAAGACAAGTCATGTAATTACTTTAGATCACAAGGAAAACACATCTGCTGTACTTGGGGATCAAATCAGTGCTTGGGATATGAAGATGTCTCTTGGCACATAAGAACTGGATAATATTTGTGGAACCAGTATTTCCTTATTAGGTATGAAAGTTACCCCCATTAAACAGTACCAAAAATCTCTTAAAACTTTTCATTGCATACATTATTAGAGCCAAACCTATTTAGTCTTTTCTCTTTTTTTTTGAGCTCTGTTGCCAAAGCTGGAGTACTGTGGCACAATCTTGGCTCACTGCAACCTCCACCTCCCAGATTCAAGTGATTCTCCTGCCTCAGCCTCCCAAGTAGCTGGAACTACAGGCACCCGCTACCACCCCCAGCTAATTTTGTTTGTATTTTTAGTAGAGACAGGGTTTCACCATGTTGATCAGGCTGGTCTCGAACTCCTGACCTCAGGTGATCCACCTGCCTCAGGCTCCCAAAGTGCTGGGATTACAGGCATCAGCCACCGTGCCCGGCCCTATTTATTCCTTTCTCTACTACTCTCATTATACATTATTCTTTGTTCTAAAATGTAAGCATTTTAACTATAATTAAGAACAAATAGGCCAGGCGTGGTGGCTCAAGCCTGTAATCCCAGTACTTTGGGAGGCCCAAGGTGAGTGGATCACTTGAGGTCAGGAGTTCAAAACCAGTCTGGCCAACATGGTGAAACTCCATCTCTACTAAAAACACAAAAATTAGCTGGGCATGGTGGTACGCGCCTGTAGTCCCAGCTACTCAGGAGGCTAAGGCAGGAGAATCGCTTGAACCTGGGAGGCAGAGGGTGCAGTGAGCTGAGATCACACCACTCCACTCCAGCCTAGGTGACAGAGCAAGACTCATCTCAACAACAACAACAACAAAAAAGAAATAGCTGGGCACAGTGGCTCACGGCTGTAATCCCTGTAATCTTAGCACACACTTTGGGAGGCTGAGGTGGGTGTCCCAAGAGTTTGAGACAACTCTGGGCAACATGATGAGAACCTGTCTCTACAAAAATACAAAAATTAGCTGAATGAGGTGGCGGACGCTTATAGTCCCAGCTACTCGGGAGGCTGAGGTGGGAGGACTGCTTGAGCCTGGCAGGTGGAAAAGCTGCAGTGAACTGAGATTGCACCACTTTCCTCCAGCCTGGCTGATAGAGTGAGGACCCTGTCTTCAAAAAAAAAAAAAAAAAAAAAACCACAAAAAACCCAAAACAAAAGCTACTTTGCAGTATCTGCACAGGAATAAACACTACTTGAAAAAGAGAGGGTGAACTGCAATCCACAGTGTGCCTTTTAGGACTCTCAGGATAACACAGCCATATTTTTGCATGAGAAATGGGATAAAGCGAGAAATGGGATAAAGTGAGATAAAGAAAATACAATTTGTTAAGTTGGATTCTGGTCCCTAGCTGTTCCCCCATCAAGCTGTGTGATGCTGGGCAAGTTATTTAGCTGGCTCTAGGTCTTATATGTAAAACTATGTTTTCTCATCTGCTTCCCACAGGGTTCTTGGTATGATGAAATGGCATGTCAGAAAAAGGTATTTTGAAACCTTCAAAGTACACTAAAATAAGTATTTTTTCCCTCTTCAATAAAGAATGAGGGTGCTCTTACAGAGAATATGTTATAAAAGATTTGAGGTGGAAGCTTAATTTACTCAGTGGTCAGAACTAAACTCAGTATTTTCTTCAGCCTTATTGAGGTTTGTCATACAATATACGACACATAAAGTATACAATTTGAGGTTCTGACATATGTATATATCCATGACATCATAACCACAATCTACATAATGAACATACTCATTACCCTGAGGTTTCCTCATGCCCTTTGTAAACTTCCTCCTTATCCCACCATGCCACATCTTAGCATAAATAGAATTTTAGTTCAGGCAGGACCACAGCAAAAAAATTACCACAGGATAGAAAGTAGGGCTCTCGGCCAGGTGCAGTGGCTCACGCCTGTAATCTCAGCACTTTGGAAGGCCGAGGTGGGTGGATCACAAGGTCAAGAGATCAAGGCCATCCTGGCCAACATGGTGAAACCCCGTCTCTACTAAAAATACAAAAATTAGCTGGGCGTGGTGGTGTGTGCCTGTAGTCCCACCTACTCGCGAGGCTGAGGCAGGAGAATCACTTGAACTCAGAAGGCAGAGGTTGCAGTGAGCTGAGATCACGCCACTACACTCCAGCCTGGCAAAAGAGCGAGACTCTGTCTCAAAAAAAAAAAACAACAACAACAAAAAAAAAGTAGAGCTTTCTAAAAGAACATGGAAACTACTAACTAATATCCTGACTGGTGGCTCCCAACAAAGGCTTCTGTGGCCACACATTTGTCTGTGGTGTTTGAAAGTCTAGTGCCCTTTTGTGTCACTCCCCCCACACCCCTTTTTTTTTGAGACAGAATTTCGCGCTCATTGCCCAGGCTGGAGTGCAATGGTGCGATCTCAGCTCACCGCAACCTCCGCCTCCCAGGTTCAAGCAATTCTCCTGCCTCAGCCTCCTGAGCAGCTGGGATTACAGGCATGCGCCACTGCGCCCGGCTAATTTTGTATTTTTAGTAGAGACGGGGTTTCTCCATATTTATTGGTCAGGCTGATCTCAAACTCCCGACCTCAGGTGATCCACCCGCCTCGGCCTCCCAAAGTGCTGGGATTACAGGCGTAAGCCACCACGCCTAGCCATCGCTCCCCTTTTTGAACACACTTCCAAATGTTCCATACAGAGCACTATACCTGTTTGGAAACCAACAAAGAAACTGAAAGTCAGAACCCATATGCAGTGCAGCTGTAGGCCTGAGGTGCACACAGGGACTCTTACCACTGCCTCGCTCCCTGGAACAGACAGACTTGACGTTGTATGATGGCTGCCGTGGATCCAAGAAGGAGACATGAGCTTGGGAGCCCACTGCATAAACTGACCATTCACTACCATAAGCCAGACACACATTCTCACGGCAATATGGCAGTTTGGTGGAGAGGAGCTGAAAATAGAGGAGAGATATAACCATGGCATCAGCAGAGAGGGTAAGGCAGGGATATTGTTTCTGGACTCCCACCTTGATGGGCTTCCCTCATATAAAAGCCACATAAAATCAAGCCCTGATTACAGAAATAACACTCTGTTCCACCCCTAGGTATACAGGAGAAAGAGGAGGTGAATGTTAATAAACGGTAAGACCTAGATACTGAAGGAGATAGGTTGGGGAAAAGGTAAATCTGGAATAAATAATCAGAAGTAGCTGGAAAGGCCAAGGCCTTTCTTGGTAGGCTGTTTCAACTATTCAGGTTGTTTCTGGGAATCGTTCCAGGGCACTAAAGCCATAGTCCCACTCTGTTCTGTCTGCCAGGAAGGGCCACCTCAGTGCTTTTCAGATAAAGAGGCTGATCTCTGGCTACCCCCAGCTCACCTTCCCACCTGAATGGGAATTGTACGCTATAGAAAGCACGCCCATGGGACTAGCTTAATCCCAGATAACCCACATCAGCCTTAACCCTGGGTCTTCGTCAGTTAGCAAATCCTCAGTGGGTGCATACAACACATAAGACAGCATACAAGGTCAGTGGAGCTCAAAGGCTATTGTGACATGAAGGAATCACTAATTCCTGGAACCCTGCTTCCTCTTGCAAAGTCCTCAAGGATAAGAAGAAGAGAAAAAGCTGGGCGTGGTGGCTAACGTCTGTAATCCCAGCACTTTGGGAGGCTAAGGCAGGCAGATCACCTGAGGTCAGGAGTTTGAGACCAGGCTGGCCAACCTGGTGAGATGCCATCTCTACTAAAAATACCAAAAATTAGCTAGGGGTAGTGGTGCATGCCTGTAATCCCAGCTACTCAGGAGGCTGAGGAAGGAGAATCACTTGAACCTGGGAGGCGGAGGTTGCAGTGAGCTGAGATCGTGCCACTGCATTCTAGCCTGGGCAACAAAGTGAGACTCTGTCTCAAAAAAAATAAAAAAAAGACAAATGATTCACAGGTAGGTTTAACTCTATGTAAAAGTTGCTTGTTGAATCTCCCTTATCCAAAAGGCTTGTGACTACAAATGTTTTGAATTTCGGATTTCTCCAGCTTTTTTTTTTTTTTTTTGAGACGGAGTCTCGCACTGTCGCCCAGGCTGGAGTACAGTGGCGCGATCTCAGCTCACTGCAAGCTCCACCTCCTGGGTTCACACCATTCTCCTGCCTCAGCTTCCCGGGTAGCTGGGACTACAAGCGCCCACCACCACGCCCGGCTAATTTTTTGTATTTTTAGTAGAGACGGGGTTTCACCATGTTAGCCAGGATGGTCTCAATCTCCTGACCTTGCGATCCGCCCACCTTGGCCTCCCAAAGTGCTGGGATTATAGGCGTGAGCCACCGCACCCGGCCCCGATTTTTAAATATCTACATATATGTAAGGAGCTATCTTGGGGATGGCACCCAAGTCTAACCACAAAATTCATTTATGTTTCATATACATCTTATACACATAGAGTGAAGGTAATTTTATGCAATATTTTAAATAATTTTCTGCATTAAACAATGTTTGGTACACTGACCTGTCAGAAAGCAAAGGTGTCCCATGTGAAATTTTCCATTTGTGGCATTGTGTTGGTGCTCAAAAAGTTTTGGACTTTGGAGGCTTTTTTTTTTGAGAGAGAGTCTTGCTCTGTTGCCAGGCTGGAGTGCAGTGGCATGATCTCGGCTCACTGCAACCTCTGCCTCCTGGGTTCAAGCGATTCTCCTGCCTCAGCCTCCCAAGTATCTGGGACTACAGACGCCCACCACCACGCCCAGCTAATTTTTGTATTTTTAGTAGAGACGGGGTTTCGCCATGTTGGCCAGCATGGTCTCAATCTCTTGACCTCATGATCCACCTGCCTCGGCCTCCCAAAGTGCTGGGATTATAGGCGTGAACCACCGCGCCAGGCCTTTTTTTTTTTTTTTTTTTTTTTTTTGAGATAGGGTCTCGCTCTGTCACCCAGGCTGGAGTGCAGTGGCAAAATTACGGCTCACTGCAGCCTTGACCTCCTCAGCTCAAGTGGTCCTCCTGCCTCAGCACTGCTACCCTCCAGTAGCTGGGACTACAGGCATATGCCACAATGTATGGCTAATTTTTAAATTTTGTTGCAGAGATAGGGTCTTACTGTGTTGCCCAGGCTAGTTTTGAACTCCTGGGCTCAAGCAATCCTCCTGCTTCAACCTCCCAAAGTGTTGGGATTACAGGCCTAAGGTATTGTGCCCAACTGGATTTTGGAGCATTCTGGATTAGGGATGACCAATTTGTATTGTAAATTAAGTCTATTTTCTCATTACCTTACATGATTATTTCAGAGATGGTTTATCTTAATTTGATCGATCTTCAATTGCCAAAGGTTCCTAACACTCAGGATTTCCTTCCCTTACAGCATGCCAAGTAGTCATCAATCTATAAAGAAATACTTAAATGCATTGTTGAGGAGGACTGCTAGTCAAAGGAGCCTCTCAGGAAGCTTATGCAATAGGAAAGAATCACCCTGTCTTACTCTTTAAAAGACTTTCCTGCAAGAGAGGCACACCAGACTCAAAATTTCATGTACTGTGCAAAAACATGCCCAGGCCTTTGGAGAACTGGTCTTTTAAACAAGAATTGAGACCAGGTGCAATGGTTCATGCCTGAATGCCCAGCACTTCGGGAGACCAAGGTGGGAGGATCGCTTGAGGTCAGGAGTTCAAAACCAGCCTGGGAAACATAGTGAGACTCTGTCTCTACAAAAAATTAAAAAAACAAAACAAAACAAAAAAAACAACCAGATGGGTGTGGTGACACATGCCCATAGTCTCAGCTACTTGGGAGGCTGAGGCAAGAGGATCGCTTATGCCCAGGAGTTCAAGGCTGCACTGATCCATGAGCCATGACTGCACTCCAACTTGGGTGACAGAGTGAGACCCTGTATTTATTGTCTTTAAAAATAAAAATACCAACCTGGCCAACATGGTGAGACTGTGTTCCTACTAAAAATACAAAAAAAATACCTGGGCATGTTGGCAGACGCCTGTAATCCCCGCAGCTACTCAGGTGGCTGAGGCACAAGAACTGGTTGAACCCAGGAGGCAGAGGTTGCAGTGAGCCAAGATTGCACCACTGCACTCCAGCCTGGGCATCAGAGCGAGACTCTGCCTCAAAAATAAATGAATAGATAAAATAAACATGAAAAAAAAGCTCAGCTAGAATTACAGTATTTTAACTGTAAGGTGAATTATTAGGTAAAACCACAAAATCATGTTCATCACACCTTAGATAGTGTATTTTCAGCCTTCCAGAGATGAAAGTAGCCATCCAGAGACACTGCTCCCAGTTCCTACAAGAGCAATGAAAACCAGGTTATATTATCATCTATAGCAACTAATGTACGATAATAAGCAGGCGAGGATTCTAAGGTCAGGGTCCTTTATTCCTGTCTCGTGATGATTCCAGCAGAGGTGCCAGTAATTATTAGACCATTACTTCACCCTACAGAACCTAGCTGAATGGCATATTAAATTGAGGCTGCCAGCAATAACACAGGCACCCATGGTTGAAAAACTCCTCACTATGCTATCACTCCCTCAACGTCCTGTTGGAGAGTTAAAGCAGGGCACATATGTGAAGGACAGTTTCATAATCTAGTGTGAGAATTTCTATAAGTGAAGACTCTAATTTAGGAGAGATTAATCTACCCTTAGGCCATAAATACAGATGGGATAGGAGGTTGAGGGAACTACCCTTCAAACTGTGGCCTGATTCAGATTCTGGAGAAGCCTTTCTCTGGCTCTGGGTGTATATTCTGACACTGCTTTTTTTTTTTTTTTTTTTTTTTGAGATGGAGTCTTGCTCTGTCACCCAGGCTGGAGTGCTGTGGCGCAATTTCGGCTCACTGCCAACCTCCACCTCCTATAGTTTTCCTGCCTCAGCCTCCTGAGTAGCTGGGAATACAGGCATATGCCACCATGCCTGGCTAATTTTTTTGTATTTTCAGTAAACATGGGGTTTTACCATGTTGGCCCAGGCTAGTCTCAAACTCCTGACCTTGTGATCTGCCTGCCTCGGCCTCCGAAAGTGCAGGGATTACAGGCGTGAGTCACTGCGCCTGGGTGACACTCTGCTTTATTAAAACCTCAGCATCAGATCTGACTCAATAAGGTAAGACTTAGTGGAAATGTGAAGGGAAAGTAGGCAGTAAAGAATACTGGCCAGGCATGGTGGCTCACGCCTGTAATCCCAGAACTTTGGGAGGCCAAGGAGAGTGGATCAACTGAGGTCAGGAGTTCAAGACCAGCCTGGCCAACATGGTGAAACCCCGTCTCTACTAAAAAATACAAAATTAGCCATGTGTAGCGGTGCATGCCTGTAGTCCCAGCTACTTGAGAATCTGAGGCAGAAGAATTGCTTGAACCTGGAAGGTGGAGGTTGCTTTGAGCTGAGATCGTGCCATTGCACTCCTGCCTAGGTGACAGGAGCAAAACACAGTCTCAAAAAGAAAAAAAAAAAAAAAGGAATGAATACCAAAGAGAAAAAAAGTGATTGTTTTCAGAAGCAAGTATGAAAATCATGCCCAGAATACAGCACCTGCAAAGGCATGTGCAAATGACAGACAGTCAAATCAGGGTGGCCCTAGGGGAATTCTGTGAGGCTGACCCACAAATATAGACTACTCAGAGAAATACTGCAGACACCAATTGAAGGGGTGGGTTTCAGAGCCTCAGTTATAATTTCTCACCAGCATCACTCAGCCTTTAAGAGGTGTTCTGTGGGCTCAGAACCATGCTATGTAGCAAGCACTGATGGGGAAGGAAAAAGGAGTGCATATCCCAAGACATAAGCAAGAGGAATACACGTCAGGGATCCCTACACAAGTTCATACCTTGTTCTTGTTGTTGAAGGCCAGAGCCCGAACCTTGCAGTTGTCAGGGTTTGTGTCTTCTTTGGGGATGTCCTTTAAGGCCTTGTGAGTGATGTGTGCATACACAGGGACCCGTGACACATTGTGTCTCGCATCACTTTTGGTCAAAACATCATCTGTCACCTCCCAGAGTCCCATAGAACCATCACGTGAGCCTGCAGGGCCAGGAGAACACAGATGTCAGATGTACCCACCCCTCTATGGGAAATCCCACAGACGCCAAAGAGGGCTTTCATAGTCTAGCTGTTTGTGCATCATCCTCATATGTGCTGAAGCTTGGCCAGATGGCCCACCCTAAACACAGAGCAGTAGGCATTTTAATAGCTACACTAAGAGAATTATTCACCTAAGGTCTAGGCATTAAAATATAACTTTTAAGTTTGACATGGTTGTTGAAATTTATTTATTATTATTATTTTTTTTTGAGACAGAGTCTCGCTTTGTCACCCAGGCTGGAGTGCAGTGGTGCGATCTCAGCTCACTGCAACCTCCATCTCCTGGGTTCAAGCGATTCCCGTGCCTCACCCTCCCAAGTAGCTGGGATTACAGGTGCCTGCTCCATGCCTGGCTATTTTTTTTGTATTTTTAGTAGAGACGGGGTTTTACCATGTTGCCCAAGCTGGTCTTGAACTCCTGAGTTCCAGCGATCAGCCTGCCTTGGCCTCCCAAAGTGCTAGGATTACAGGTGTGAGCCACCACACCTGGTCTGCTTTTTTTTTTTTTGAGACAGAGTCTCGCTCTATCACCCAGGCTGGAGTGCAGTGGCACGATCTTGGCTCACTGCAACCTCGGCCTCCTGGGTTCTAGCGATTCTCCTGCCTCAGCCTCCCAAGTAGCTGAGATCACAGGCGCATGCTACCATGCCCTGCTAATTCTTTTTATTTTTATTTTTGAGATGGAGTCTTGCTGTGATGCCTAGGCTGGAGTGCAATGGCGCAATCTTGGCTCACTGCAACCTCCGCCTCCCAGGTTCAAGCGATTCTCCTGCCCCAGCCTGTAGCTGGGACTACAGGCGCGTGCCACCACGCCCAGTTAATTTTTGTATTTTTAGTAGAGATTGGGTTTCACCATATTGGCCAGGCTGGCCTCGAACTCCTGACCTCAAGTGATCCACCTGCCTCAGCCTCTCAACGTTCTGGGATTACAGGCATGAGCCACCGCGCCTTACTCGAAATTCTTTAACGAGAATTTTATACATTTTGATAAAGCTAATTTTCTTTTTTATTTTTCTTTTTTTTCCCTTTTTTTGGAGATGAAGTCTCTCTGTGTTACCCAGGCTGGAGTGCAATGGCATGATCTCGGCTCACTGCAACCACCACCTCCCGGGTTCAAGCGATTCTCCTGCCTCAGCCTCCCGAGCAGTTGGGACTACAGGCACACGTCACCATGCCCGGCTAATTTTTGTATTTTTAGTAGAGACGGCGTTTCACCATGTTGGCCAGGCTGGTGTCGAACTCCTGACCTCATGATCCACCCGCCTCAACCTCCCAAAGTGCTGGGATTACAGGCATAAGCCAGTGCACCTGGCCAAAGCTTAGTAATTTTCTATGCCAAATGTTTAGGTCTCTTGGCATGCATCCACAGCTGACTTTTAGTGGGCAGTAGGGCTTGGGAATCCTCCCCTCTAGAGCAGTGGTACTTAACCTTTTTTGAGCCTTGGACCCCCTTATGTCTCTCTTTTTTTAGAGACAGGGTCTCACTTTGGGGCCCAGGGTAGACAGGGCAATAGTGGCACAATCATAGCTCACTGCAGGCTCAACTTCCTGGGCCTAAGTGATCCTCCTGCCTCAGCCTCCTGAGTAGCTAATACAACAGGTATGCACCCCCATGACTGGCTTTTTTTTTTTTTTTTTTGAGATGGAGTCTCACACTGTCGCCCAGGCTGGAGTGCAGTGGTGCGATCTTGGCTCACTGCAAGCTCCGCCTCCTGGGTTCACGCCATTCTCCTGCCTCAGCCTCCTGAGTAGCTGGGACTACAGAGGCCCGTCACCACGCCTGGCTAATTTTTTGTATTTTTAGTAGAGACGGGGTTTCACTGTGTTAGCCAGGATGGTCTTGATCTCCTGACCTCGTGATCCACCTGCCTCGGCCTCCCAAAGTGCTGGGATTACAGGAGTGAGACACCACGCCCAGCTTCTTTTTTTTTTTTTAATACAAGGCCTCACTCTGTTGCCCAGGCTGGAGTGGAGTGGTGCAATCTCAGCTCATCCCAACCTCCACCTCCTGAGCACAAGTGATCCTCTCACCTCAGCCTCCTGAGTAGCTGTGACTACAGGCACACCCTACCACACCTGGCTAATTTTTGCATTTTTTTTTTTTTATAGACAGGGTTTTGTCATATTGCCCAGCATTGTCTTAAACACCTGGGCTCAAGTGATCCAGCTGCCTCATCCTGTCAAAGTGCTGGGATTACAGGTATGAGCCACCAAGCCTAGCCTTATTTTTTTAATTTTTTTTGTAGAGATGGAGTCTCGATTTGTTGCCAAGGCTAGTCTTGAACCCCTGGCCTCAAGTGATCCTCATACCTCAGCCTCTCAAAGTGCTAGG